>NT_167250.2:0-300000 GCF_000001405.40 Homo sapiens
GTCATATGGTAGTCTATTTTTAATTTCTTTAGGAAACTCCATACAGTTTTTCATAATGATTGCACCATTCTGCAGTCTTACCGATAGCGAACTAGGGTTCACTATTTTCTCCATACTCTCACCAGCATTTTTTGTCTCTTGTCTTTTTGATAACAGCTATTCTTACGGATGTGAGATGATATCTCATAGTGGTTTCATTTGTATTTCTCTGATGATTAGTGATGTTGAGCAATTTTTAATATGCCTATTGGCTATTTTTGTTTTCTTTAGAGAAATTTCTGGTCAGGTCCTTTGTCCATTTTTAATAGGGTTATTCATGTATTTTCGGTATTGAGTTGTAAGAGTTCTTTATAAATTTGGGGTATTAACCCCTTATCAGATATGCAATTTGCAAATATTTTTCCCAGTCTGTAGGCTGCCTTTTTATTTTGTTGATTGTTTCCTTTGATGTGAAGAAGCATTTAAATTTGATGTAATCCCACTTACATATTTTGCTTTTGTAATCTGAACTATTAGTATGATATCCAGAAAATCACTGCCAAGGCCAATGTTGAAGAGATTTTCCCTTATGTTTTCTTCTAGGAGTTTTATGGCTTCAGGTCTTACATTTAGGTGTTTTATTCATTTTGAGCTGGTTTTTGTTGTGTATCTCACATGTATAGTGTGAGATAAGAGTTCTTTTTCATTCTTTTGCAGGTGGAAATACAGTTTTCCCAGCACCATTTATTGGAGACTATACTTTCCCCTTTGCGTCCACTTGGTGCCTTGGTCGAAATTTAGTTGACCATGTATGTTTGCATTTATTTCTTTGCTCTCTATTCTCTTCCATTAGTCCATGTTTCTGTTTTTTACCAGTGTAATTCTGTTTATTATACCTTCGTAACATAACTTTAAATCAGGAAGTATGATGCCCCCAACTTTATCTTTCTCAGTATTTCTTTAGCTCTTCAGTTTGTGCGTGTGTGTCTGTCTGTGTATGTGTGGTTCCATAGAAATTTTAGAATTTTTGTTTCTATTTCTGTAAAAAATGCCATTAAACTTTCGGTACAGATAGTGTTGAATCCATGTATTGCACTGTGTAGTATGGACATTTAAAAAATATTAATCCCATGAATAAATAAGAGATATCATTCCATTTATTTGTGTCTTCAATTTCTTTGATCTGTATTTCATAGTTTTCCTTGTACAAATCTTTTACCTTCTTGGTTAAATGTATTGTTTTTCTGGGTGCTATTATAAATGGGATTGTTTTCTTGATTCCTTTTTTAGTTAGGTGATTATCTGTCTATAGAAATGTTACTTTTGTTTCCATGTTGATTTGGTATCCTGCAACTTTTCTGATTTACTCCAACAGTGTTTTTTAAGCATCTTTAAGGGTTTTCAACATATAGGATCATATCATCTGCAAATAGGGATAGTTTTACCTCTGATTTAGATGCCTTTTATTTCTTTTACTTATTTAATTGCTCTTGCTAATCTTTCAAGTACAATGTTGAATAGAAGTGATTAGAGTGAGAATCCTCCCCTGATACCAGATCTTACTGGAAAAACTTTCAGTCGTTCCCCACTGATGTAATATTATCTGTGTGTGTTTTTTATAAATGACTTTTACTATTTTGAGAAACTTTACTTCTATACTTGAAAGTCTTTATTGGGAAAGATGCAGAACTTTGTTAACTTCTTTTCCTGCATCATTTGAAAGGAACATGTGGTTTTTAACATTCTCATAATTCACATGTCACATTGATTGTATATGATAAACCAGGCTTGCATGCCAGGGTTAAATCTCACTTGTCATGATGTATGTTCTTTTTGATGTGTTGTTTAGTTGTTTGCTAATATTTTATTAAAGATTAGTGTATCAATGTTCATTAGAAATATTGCCCTATAGCTATCTTTTCTTACAGTGTCTTTGTCTGCCTTGGATATGAAAGTGATTCTGATGCCATGAAATGTTTGGAAGTATCTCCTCTATTTCTACTTTTTGACCGAGTTTAAGAAGTATTGATAGATTCTTTTATGAACATTTGGTACAATTTGGCCATGAAACCTTCTGGTCCTGTGCTATTCTTGGTTGGAAGGTTTTTAATGACTTCTTCAACTGATTTGTTGGATTGGTTCAAGTTTTCTACTTCTTCCTGACTCAATCTTGGTAGGTTATATTTTTCCAGGAATTTATCTATTTTTTTCTAGATTATCCAATTTGTTGCATATATTTATAATAGGCCTTATAATACTTTACTTGTGAGGCATCTGGTGTAATGTCTCCATTTTCATGTTTGGTTTTATTTATTTGGGTCTTTCCTCTTTTTGTCATAGTCTAGCTAGTATTTTGCTGATCTTATTTTTTCAAAGATTACTTTTTTGCTTTTTTCTGTGTTTTTGTTCTCTGTTTTACTGATTTGTATTATTTTCCTCCTTTTGCTAACTTTGGCTTTAGTTCTTTTTCTAGCTTTTTGAGACATAATGTGGTATGTGCACTAGAAAAGAAATGTATATTCTGCTGTTCTTGGATGGAAAGTTCTGTATGTCTGTTAGGTCCATTTGGTCAAACCCAGTATTTGCTTAATTTTCTGTTTAGTTGAGCTATTCAGTGTTTAAGGCGGGGTACTAAGATCACCAACTATTATTGTACTGCTATCTATTTTTCCTTCACGTACATTTTTTTTTTTTTTTTTTGAGATGGAGTCTCGCTCTGTTGCCCAAGCTGGAGTGCAATGGTGTGATCTCAGTTCACTGCAACCTCCGCCTCCCAGGTTTAAGAGATTCTCCTGTCTCAGCTTCCCGAGTAGTTGGAGTTGCAGGTGCCCACCACCACACCCAGCTAATTTTTGTGTTTTTAGTAAAGATGGGGTTTTGCCATGTTGGTCAGGCTGGTCTCAAACTCCTCACCTCAGGTGATCTGCCCGCCTCAGCCTCCCAAAGTGTTGGGATTACAGGTGTGAGCCATCGCGCCCAGCCAATACTTTCTATATGTATTTAGGTGCTTTGTTATTGGGTGCATATATAATTCTTATGTCATCTTGATGAATTGGCCGCTTTATCATTAATGACCATCTTTGTTTTTGTAACAGCTTTTACCTTGAAGTTTCTTTTATCTAATGTATATTACGCCATCCCTGCTCTTTTTTGGTTACTATTTGTATGGATTTTCCCATTCTTATACTTCCAACTTTTGTGTGTTCTGGAAGCTGAAGTGGGTCTCTTTTAGGCAGCTCAGTTACATTGTTTTTTAATCCATTCAACCACTCTTTACTGGATAATTTAATTCATTTAAAATCAAGGTTATTATTGATAGGTAAGGACCTATTTTGCCATTTTAAAATTGTTTTCTAGTTGTTTTGTAGATTCTTTGTTCATTTCGTCCTCTCTTGTTGTTTACCTTTGTGATATGGTAATTTTCTGTAGTGCTAATAAGCTTTGTCCTTTATCATTGTTTGTGTATCTGTTGTAATTTTTTGGTTTGTGGTTACCATGGGCTTACATAAAATGTTACAGTTGTAATACACTATTTTAAGCTGGTAACAACACAGATCATATAGAATTATTCTAGATTTTTACCCTCTTCCCAACAATTTATATTTTTGTTGCCATAACTTACTTTTTTTTTTTTTTTTTGAGACGGACTCTTGCTTTGTCGCCCAGGCTGGAAGGCAATGGCACAATCTTGGTTCACTGCAACATCTGCCTCCCGGGTTCAGGCGATTCTCCTGCCTCAGCCTCTTGAGTACCTGGGATTACAGGCATGCGCCACCATGCCCCACTAATTTTTGTGTTTTTAGTAGAGGAGGGGTGTCACTATGTTGGCCAGGATGGTCTTGAATGCCTGACCTCAGGTGATCCACCCATCTTGGCCTCCCAAAGTGTTGGGATTACAGGCGTGAGCCACTGCACCCAGTCTTACATTTTTTTACATTGTATATTCCTTAGCTTTTCAGAGCTATTATTTTTGACTGTCTTTCAAATCTCCAGTATGAAGGTTACAAATGAAAATATTTAATAGTCAATAGTCTGTGTTTAAGACATAGTAGTATTTAAGATACATTTAATGTATTTATTAGTATTTAAGACAATAGTCAATAATCTATATTTAAGACACAGAAGAAACTGAAAGTGTAAGATTTAGAAACAAGAGAATCCCCACCCCAAAAAATTAGAGATTAAATGATCTACATGATAGATAACAGAATACTATGCATGGATTGCTTATACTCTAAGGATTCCTATTCCTACTATAAGGAACTTGGGGACTAAACTTGAGCCAGTTCTTTCCTGTGTGCCTCAATTTTAATATGTGTTTCAAACTGCATTTGGAATGTTTCCTACCCAAATAACAAAATCTTAAACATGAAGCTAAAATTATCCATGTGTGTCACAGTCACCCTTACGTTGGGTCAGGGAACTCTAGCTTGGTCAGTTAACTGCTGGCAACAGTTCCTTCTTCAATTCCATGCCCCTGAGGACTCTTAATGGTTAACATTATGACAAGACAGGATGTATGTGACCCTCAGAAAGACCACGACATTCTACAGCAGAATGTAGATATATCCAAGGGCAAGATGCCACACCTGTGATGGCAAAATACTCTGAAAAGTCAAACATTCAGGTGTTATAACTTGTATGAGATCCTGATTTAATGGACATCTGCTAAATTTCCTCTGTCCATGTCTTTTGGAGACTGTCCTTCCTGATGTAATCCTCACAGAGGTGACCATAACATGTGCCTCTCTTGCTTCCCAATGCTGGGAGACAAAGAACCCCATTTCCTTGGAAATACAGATTGGATTACGGCTGGCTCCAAAACCAACATGGCTATTCAGTCCTTTTGGGGAACTGACATGGACACTGGGAGGAAAATAGTCTCTCTCCTGCCACTGAAACTACATGGACAATGGAAGCTTGGAGATAATGGCCATTTTCTGAAAAATTAGACCATGCTTGAAAAAAAGCCATTATGGAGGAAATCATTATGGAGGAAATCAAATCCAAAAATTACATGCTTGAATTTTCACTCCTTTGAACTATTACTCCAGCCAATAAAATCCCTGACCGGATTTCTAAACTCGGAATGACTGAATTTTCTGTTTTTCATCTGAACACATCATACTAATGTAGATTGTTAGAATCACAGCACAGTGGAGTACACGAAAGAAACCATGTCTTCTCACAGTGACAAAAGCTGTCATGTGTACGAATATTAAATAAAACATACTGATTTTTATATACTGACTCTTCTGTACAGAAAAAAATCTTGCATTTTTTATACAATGTTCCGGTAAGTTTATTTTAAAAATTAGGAAAGGAGAAAACAGTGATGATTATGTGAGCCAACAGAATTGTTTAGAATAGTGCCAGATACTTGGTAAAAACTTAATGTTGGCTTTTTAAAATAGATCGACTCAATACTAAGCTCAACATACAAAGCATAACTTAACATCTAATTGGATGGCACTTTAGAAAAATCCTCTGCTTAAGCCTGAAGGAAATGTTAATGTTTAAAAATCTCAGGCCAGGTGCAGTGGCTCACGCCTGTAATCCCAACACTTTAGGAGGCTGAGGCAGGTGAGGTCACTTGAGGTCGAGTTTGAGACCAGCCTGGCCAACATGTTGGAACCCCATCTCTACTAAAATTACAAAAATTAGCGGGGTGTGGTGGTGGGTGCCTGTAGTCCCAGCCATTCGGGAGGCTGAGGCAGGAGGTTGCAGTGAGCCAAGATCATGCCACTGCCCTCCACCTGGGCGACAGACTCCATCTCCAAAACATTTATTAATTTATATACTGTTTTTTCAAAAGTGATGAGGTGGTTTAGAAACACCAAATAAAAACATGGGTAAAATCTTGGCCCATCAATTACTACCTTTCTAATCTTGGGCAAGTTTACTAGCCTCTCTGAGCCCATTTAAATGAGTCTGTATATAAAAGCACAAAGTCTCTATTGCATACAAAGTGCTCAGTATTTATTCCTATTATTTCAGGAAAATACCTTTAATATTACCTACCAGTTTTGTATAATGGTTACAGAAATTCTTAAACTGTAGCTATCATCTTGTCTAGCTTACTGATGAATACACAAAATGCCAATGAAGTGACTTACCATGTATCACTAACCGGTTTAATTAAAGACAATGACAAAACTAGAACCCAGGTTTCCTTAAAAGTACTTTTTCCTCTCTACCACAATGCAGATTTAAAACAAATCCTCAGGCTTTAGTTTTGTCATTGTAAATAAAACTTCTGTGAATGCAGGGAAAGATACTACATGCTGGTATGAATATGAATGCAGTATAACTATAGTTTATTATATCCTTTAAGAGTAAAGTGCCTGTGTTGTTCTTTTCAGGCCAATATAGATTAAATGTAAAACTGTACTATGTGATCTGGTACACAGTACAACTGTTGATACTATAAAAAAATCAAACATTCAAATATTCCTAATGTTTATAAAGGCCAAATTCCAAAGGCCAAAACTCCAGGTGTAACTCAAGAAAAAATTCAAAAAAATTATTTCATAAACTGTTTTCTTGAGCGGCTCTATTTCTATGTTATAGTTGGTTACCACTGGGAGAACTGGACAGTTAACTTAAAATACAGAACTAATACAAGAGGGTTAAAAGTCCATTTATGAAGTAAAGTAGAAAGCATGTACAAAGTCGTTCACTTACAGAAGACTAAAACAACAAATAGAAAACCTAAATAAACGATTCTGTGATCAGAGTAGACTCAAAATGTTATCAGGTGTATAAATACTTAACCAAATTATTAACATAACTCTGTGTATCTTATGTTAGAAATAGAAGTAAGCTTTTAATGCAACAGGCCTAGGTCAATCATTTCTGCTAAAGTGTGCCTCAAAAAAAGCAAATGGGGTTCCTAAAATTCCTGAACAAAAAGCATGCTTTTATGTCCATTATTGCATAATAAAACAAACCTGCAATTGGATAAGAAAAAGATACAAAAGATAACCGTCAATCTTTACCAATTTATTTTATACAAAACAGTAGCAATGTAGAATATGGGAATCGTCTTCCGCTGCCACGCACGCAAGTTGTGAACATTCCAAGCCAATGTATACAATTTGGAGGGGAAGGCTAAACAATAGCATCAACCACGCTACTGAACATAGGAATTTTTCATTTAAAAAGATTAAAAATTAGATAGCAATGTCTTCTTAATATTGCTCTCGTCATTGAAGACTGAGGAAAAATAAAAAGTGACTTTATAAGTTTTTTAAAAAAAGAGGCAATGGGGAAAAAAACAAGAGGCTGCTACAACACTGCCATACAGTCAAACCATCATACTTCAATATTTGCATACTCGATAGCAGCATTATTTTTACTGAACCGTGTGCAACTACATGTAGAAACACATCAAAGCAAAATATCATGGCAGTTATCAATCAAGATCCAAAAAGGAAAAAAACAAACAAAAAAATAACTCTAGGATGAACACACTATAAGAACATTTATGGAGAAAGAATCAGTATCTACATTCTTGGACTGTTCCATTCTGCCCCAATAAAAGTGTCAATTCAACTGTCAGCTGTGGATTTTTGGCGGATTTGAGTTTTTCCAGTTCTTATGATACTGCATGCTTGGAACAAAGGGGGTCATAATAAATCCTTCTACACAATGAACTTCATAGGCAGACAGCTGAAAATAAATTTACTACTTGTAAACACACACAAAAAAAAAATACAAGATTTTTTGTATCTTTAAACAATCAGTGCTTCCAAAAGCCCATTATCTTCTATATCGACCTCTCTCCCCTCGGTCTCTGTCTCGATCACATAATCGCTCTCTTTCTCTTTCTCTATCACGTCCTCTATCTCGCTCTCTGTCTCGTCTGTTATCTCTAGGGCGGTCTCGCTCTCGTTCCCGGTCTCTTTCACGGGGTCTACTTCTCCGGCCACTGACAACAGCTTGTGTGCGACGAAGGAAATCATCCACCCTCATATCATAATCATGCTAGAAAAGGAAAGAAATGTGTTAGGTATGTCAAAAAGGCAAATAGTGTTAAGTGGATCCCTGATTTGAAAAAAAAATTTATATAAACAATTTTAAAATATAAAAAAAGAAAAGTCTCTGTATTATAATCGGCGGAGAGAACAATCCAAAGAAATGCAATAATAAATTAATTCACAGAAGGTAATATGCTGACATGGTTTAGAAAAAGGATGATGCCTCATTAGACATCTACAACAGATTATTCAAATCTCTTTATGCAGTTTTCCACTTAACTTTAATGACTTTTCCATCTGATCCCTTCAGTAAGATTTAGGCCAAAGATATTAACTAGTGATGACCTTCAACTATTATCCATATATACTGCCAATTATGCTAAATGTCATCAATGTTTTTCTGGCACAGGCTAGCTCTACATTTTTCCTCCAATTCTACCAACTTCAATTTTACAAACTGAGTATTATGTTCCAGATTTTCTTTCAAACTAAATTGTTACAACTAAGTTGATGTGCAAGAAAAGTTGTGGCTGCTCCTAAACTTGGCCCCTGCTCTAGTTTAAACTTTCTACTCTTAGTTCTCAGCTTACCTTACTGATTTTGGTCTTCTCTCAAAACTTAGCTGAAATAAGATTTGAAAACACAGTCCCACATTACCTTTTATATATGTGATTATGTAAGTAGAGAATATGTATACTAACCAAAAAATCACTACATAAAGATCCATAAAATAGAACTTGTTAAAAAGGATATAGTTGAGGAAAACAAAAAAATCTCAGACTTCCTATTTTAAAAGCCATGTGATCAGTTATGGGAATTTTTAAGACACCACAACCCATCTAGTCAACTAAGATTTCATTATAGATAGACTGTATATTTCTTTCTTGTGTGCTTAACTGAAAATAAACTACTAATTTAAAGTTTGTGAATTAGTTAACTAGTACTCTCAAATTATTTTACAGAATGTTAGAAGTCATGATAAGATTTGATTTAGAGAAAATTACTATCTTTATAAGGAAATTACTGACAACACAAAAAAATGTCTCAAAGATAGGCTAGAAAGCTGCTCTGATTCTCACAAATAGGCCCACTCTTCATCTTAAGTGGGAAAATAAAAAGATGTTTATTTGGCCCCATACAGACTCATCAACCTAAGTAGGGAGTGGAAAAAAATTCTAACTTGCATATCCTACTTAGTTTAACAACAAAACTACCTTTCTAAGGCTATCAAACTTATATGCATATGAATTATGCTTCCAACACTTGCCAGAAGACAATTCTGCTTTATAAATAAAAGTACTATTGGGGGGGGTGGGGAAGCATTTAATAAACTCAGCCCCACTAGTTAAAAACCCAGAAAACTCAAACTAAAACTAGAGTCTTTTTTTCACTGGTCCTGTTTTGAAGCCATCAAAAAAAGCTTTCACATCAATCTTATCAAATAATTAACAGAATCAATGAATAAAGGACATGTCTGCTACATATCATAACATCTGGTTATTCTTTGCTAACATCACAATAACCAGAGGTAAAACAATTTATCAGTTACTAGCTTTAACATTTGGTAGAAATAAAAACAAATGACTAAATGAGATTACAGCTTATCAGCTAACTTAATATACACGATCTATCCTAGAAAAATTGAGTAAGAATACACAAAAAGTTCAGAAATATCTATTAACAATATTAATTACATAGCATAATTAAGATCTCAATATGGAAAGAACATAGCCTAGGTACTACCTAAAAGGAGTTCTATTTGTAGGCGTTTGCCTTAAGCAGTTTGTGATTTGATCAGTAAAAGAAATATATTCTATCTATATAATCCAAAGGGGCATAATCAGGCATTTTTAATAAAAACAAACAATTATTCCAAAACAGTCTGCAGTAAGAATATGCAATGGTCCGTCAATCATCATACTCTGGTCTCCCCATATTTAAGTTACCTACAGAATTCTAAGTAGTTCCCTCACACCTTTGCCTCCTTGTGCACTTACTACTCGTTTATCTCTGTATCTTGCTTCATGTGGTACTGGATGATGTCCTGAGTAAGGGGGATGAGCTTGAGGAGGTGGAGCATGGTGCTGATAGTAAGGATGGTGTGGAGGTTGTTCCATTCCTGGGTAAGGGGGCTAAAAAAGGAAAACCATTTACATTAAGAATCTACCAACACCCTTGTAAACAAGCGATTCTTAGAACCCTTCATCCAAAACACCAATCCCAAACAAGTGAATCTGTACTAGACATTTACTTTGATGGCATTAAGGTGTTTCAAAATATGCTTTTTGTCGAAAATTACACATCTTCTAAGATTTAACATGTTTATGCTTTTCTACTCCTATCATATAAATAACAATGGAAATAGCAAACACTTACATGGTGCTTACTGTGAGCCAGGCATTGTTCTAAGCACTTTACTAGTCTCATTTAATTCTCACAGCAACCTTATGAGATAGATACTATTGTTCCCAGTTTACAAAAGGGAAAACTGAAGCAACAAGGAGTTAAGTAACCTGCTTATAGTCACACTACTGTTAAAGTGGTGAAGCAGGCATACGGCATCAGGCATCCTAGTTCTGCAGTTGGTAAACTGGTTAACCACTTTGTATGTATCTGTTCTTAGAAACATCAACAGGCCTGGTGTGGTGGCTCACGCCCATATCCCAGTGCTTTGGGAGGCTGAGGGAAAAGAATCCCTTAAGCCAGGAGTTGGAGACCAGCTTGGGTAACAGAGTGAGACCTTGTCTCTATAAAAAAATTAGCCAGGCACAGTGGCATGTGCCTGTAGTCCCACCTACTCAGGAAGCTGAGGCAGCAGGACCACTTGTGCCCA
Source organism: Homo sapiens (assembly GCF_000001405.40). Classification (NCBI taxonomy): domain Eukaryota; kingdom Metazoa; phylum Chordata; class Mammalia; order Primates; family Hominidae; genus Homo; species Homo sapiens. Next base: position 10,792 of record NT_167250.2, read on the forward strand.
GGAGTTCAAGGCTGCACAGAGCTATCATCACACCACTGCATTCCAGCCTGGGAGACCGAATGAGACCCTGTCTCTCAAAAAAAAAGTCCAGGAGCAAATTAACTTTTAAATGCCATTTAAAAAATGAATAAAGGGTAAATTAAAGATTACTTTCATAGTTACTATCAAGATCATATATTATTAAATTTTTAAAATTTCCTAGAATCTAAAGGGGAAAAGTCTCATAATCATCTGCATATAATAGTATAAAACTGTATACCTTAAAAGTGAAACAAAAGTCAGATGAAGAGGCCATATAACATATTGCATTTAAAAAAAGACATAAATTAAAATGTAAGAAAACAGTAGAAGCTACTTCAACTTCCAGGTTTTTATTTCTTGAAAATTAATGCTTCAGCTATCTTCAATATCTTAAAATATACTCTAAGACAATTCAGTTTTCTTAAAGGAAATAATTAAAAAGCAGGAATAATCAGGGTTTAATTAATCTTATTTTACACAGAAAATTTAGTGAGTATTAGATCAGGCACTATGCTAAACTTAACATGTACTTTGTAAATTTATCTTGACAATGAAAATGACACTACTACATTAAATTTTAAGCTATACCAGGACAGTCATGATGTCAATTTCATTCACCATGATATAATCAGAACAAGCACAGTGCCTTGCACAGAGTAAGTACTAAATATTATATTTGATAAGACAAAGCATCAGTGAATGCCCATGGAATTTTACAGATGAGGAAAACTAAGAGTTGTATTAAGAAATTAACCCAAAGTCACAGAGTTGGGAAGAAAAAGAAATATATCTGAACCCAAGCGGACTTTGCACTACTAATTACTACCATAATACACTATTACAGTTCTCAAGCCTGTACTATTAACACAAATGAGCTTTTAGTCTTTAGTTTGAAAGACAGCATACAATTATTTATCATCAAAAATCTGTATTTTAAGTCTTTTTGAGATGGAGTCTCCCTCTGTTGCCCAGGCTGGAGTGCAGTGGCGCAATCTCGGCTCACTGTAACCTCTGCCTCCTGGGTTGAAGCAATTCTCCTGCCTCAGCCTCCCCGAGTAGCTGGGAGTACAGGCACACGCCACCACACCCAGCTAATGTTTTTTGTATTTTTAGTAGAGACAAGGTTTCAGTTTCACCGTGTTGGCCAGGCTGGTCTCGAACTCTTCACCTCAGGTGATCTAGCCGCCTCAGCCTCCCAAAGTGCTGGGACTGCAGGTGTGAGCCACGGCGCCTGGCCAGTTTAAGTCTCTTTAATGAGTAACTGTAACAATCATATTCCGAGTAAGCACCTGAAATACTAGAACTGCAAATTAAGTTATGTAACTTATAAAAATAGAATAATACAAACCATTCCTTGCCAAGGTGGTGGTGGTCCCATGTTATGAAATTCCCTCACATAATCATTGTAGGACTAAAATAAAAGATGATAATGTCAATATAATTAAAAATTATCACAGAACTGCAAAATAAATCAGAGCCTGATTTTATCCACATTAAATAGATAAAATGAAATGCTTACCCCATTTAAAAACACATCTCGGCGAACTCCTGAAAATCGTCTGTTGGGAATAAGATTTGTGAAACTAAATTCAGGTAATTCATAAACTAGTTCCAAGAATGTAATTCAAAACTAGGCAAGAGTGAACCCGACTTACCTGTCCACTTCCTGGTATCGTGGATCCTTTAAATACCCTGTTCAAACATCAAGCATTTTAGTAAATCAAATTTATATTTTTCTTTTATGGCATTATAATTAAACCTTCCTTACCACTCGTTTCAATTCTTTCCATGAAATATGTACTTTAAGTGATGCTACTACTGTATTATCCCATTTTCAAATTTTCTTCTCAGATTACATGATAATCTAGGAAATAACTAATGATATCATAGAATTGTAAACTGCTAGAGAAGCTTTCAGATAGGTATCTTCTATGTTCACACTCCAAATCTTGCTAATCAGAAAATTTCTTCCTTCTGCTTCACAGGGAAGGTAAGGGCAGAGGAACTATCTTGAGCACACTATGACAGGACTTCCTTAAAACAAATGTTTACTTTCCACCTTGGGTATATGTAGGTCTTACCAAGAAAACCACAGATAAGCTTTTTAAAATGTAAACTTAAGGGGGAGGGGGAAAAAATTGCAAAAGTTGCAAAAATGAAGATGTATACACTGAAAATGAAAAATCGATGGTGGTTAGAAAAATATTCTTTCCCCTGCTTCTTTTAATAAGAACCCAACAAATTAAAATGTAAAAACATTTGAGTAGTCATGTTACTGGGGAAAAACTATTTTCACTTTCTACAACAGGACAACCTATTTTGGAAGAATGAGGCTAATCAAGCCACTTGTTACATAATAGTGCTATAATGATCACTAACATCAATCTCCTAACTGCCTAAGTTTCACAAGTGTATCACTGACTCTCTTCAAATACATGATATCCCTTCTTGAATATAGTTTGCTCTCTTAAATTTCAGTAAGGGATAGATTAATTGAAAAGCTACATTTAGATTACATACCGAGTATTTCCCATTCCTCTCCAAAGACATAAAGATTTTTATTTAAAAAAAGTAGCATTGTATGTATATGTATCACATGAAACACTAACTACCATAGGGAACAAAAAGCCTGATAGAATATAAGGTTATTGCTTTTCATAACTACTTTTAACCTTAAACACATGTGCAGATAAGTTTCCATTTTTGCAAAATTAGCAATTTCAGGTAATTCATAGGGTATGATGAGTTACACTGGAATAGACTAGACAACCTTAACGAAGTTAAGGGAAGAATTACACTAATGAGAACTACTAAAATTTCTCAAGATTTAAGTAGTCAGGTCCTGAATTTTTTTCACTTTTAAAACTGCAGGATTGTGAGGGTTGTTTTTAATTTTTTAATTTTTTTCCAATAATTTGAAATCAAATATCTGCAGGATTATAAAATATTAACCTGGTCTCTGGTGAAACTCAGGGGGATAGTCAATCCTTGGTTTCTTTCTGCTGTTATGAATATCATAATCTTCTGGTCGACGCCTACACAAATTAGACACATTAGAAATTAAACCAAAAACTGCTGGGAGAACAAAGAGTAAAGCAAGAGTTTCTGACAGAGATAAGTACAAAGAATAACCCATTATTTAACATCTTAATTTTTTTAGTGAGCAAATTATTTTAAAATTCCTACATTTTGATTCTCAAATTAATTCCTATAAACCAAACTTTAAATGTACTGCTGGAAGTAGATATTCTCTGCCAACTCATGCTATGATGAGAAAATTGCAGACTAGTCCAATCAAAACATGTAAGTCACATTTTAGTAGTCTAAACAAAAGTAAACAAAGTCATTCTCAAACTAAATATCAGTTTTAACAATTAAAACACTTTCCCAAATAAAGTCTCCATTCAGATGAAAAATAAAAACTAGAAAAACCTATCATCATTGTACAATATGTAACTCTAAAATCTGCATATTTAAAACTTATAAATGTCATTTTAGGTTAAGTCTAAACAAAATTAAGAATTTATTTTTCCTCTGCTTTGCACAAATTATGAATTTTACATGATCATACAGAAAATTTGATACTTATTAAAAGCAACTTTACAGGAAAGTTTTTAAAATCTTAATAGTTAAAAAACTATTTCTTAATAATCCTTAGTAACATTTAGTTTTTCTTTCTACATCTAATGACATTTAAGAATTAAGGGAATTTTTTTTTTCCAGAGACAATGCCTTGTAATAAAATAGGCTTTTATAAATTGGCAAGTAATGGGTCAGAATTTTAACAGAGTTCATAAAACTAATTCAAAATATATTCTTTAGAAGGTGAAACTTTACTGACTACAGAGGGCTGTTCTTTACTGTCTTCCATAAATCGGGTTAACTTAACACATCATTAAATACACTTCAATTTACTTAGCAGCTAATAAAGAGTTAAACAAAAAAAAAGTCCAAAATATTTAGAAAATAAATATATCTTTTTAACCTTAATGTCAAATAAAAACTTGATAACAACCTAGCATTCACTAGTTTTCAGCTATTTGTCTGAGTACCAACTGCTTTCATTAACTTTTTCAACACAGTTCACTCAAACTGCAAAGTTAAGTGCAATAATCCCAAGCCCCCCAACAGAATAAAAACAGTTGCATCTACAATAAATAATACTAAGAAAATTAAAAGCTGGTTTAAAAAATAAACATACCGCTTTCCTGTAGTTTGGGGAGTGCATTTACGACCGGTATAAAACATGATAGTAACAGTTCATATAGTAGTCCAACTACTGACTTTAAGCTGTAAGCCACATACATAAATGGAGGCCCTGGCAGGCTTGAGAGAAGGTGTAGTGGTGTAATAAGTATAGTTTGCAGTCCATTGCAAAACTGAGGTAAAAACTTCACTTGTATATATTGTATTGCACTGGAAACCTCTTAGCTTAAAACTTCAAAAGACATCTTGGTGCTCAGTCCTTTTAGGCCAAAAATAAGGGGCTCTGCCAGGTTTCCTCCTACCTACTCGACAGTGTCCTTTTTAAGCTCAAAGAAATGGGGACTCTTGTTGGATTATCTGTACCTACCACAGGATGTCTCCACCAAAAGGAAATTTAATCAAAGGTTTCATCCCATCAACCATACATCCAATAGTCTTTAGCAGAATATTTTAGATTTAGCTGTATGCAAATCTACACAGGGGAAGGTGTTGGGTAGAAGGGCTTAAATCAGTCCTTTGCAAAGACTTCTCCAATTCTGTAACAAGTTAAACCCCCTTTTTCTGGAAAATGCTGTTTAGTTCATAAAGTAGTGATCAATAACCATGGCGATCCTCTAAAAAACACTTTTAAGTCCACAGGTACTGCCAGCATCTGGAAAAGTTGTAAACAGACACAGCAACAGCCCTTCTTTTTGGTTTGTTGCCGGGTCTCCCAGGGCCACTTGATCCCCTTTGGAAAGAACCTATTGTTTTCAGAAGCTCAGCAAGATGTGTGAATTCACTGGGTACATGTTAGAGAATATTTGGCAATAGGGTTAACACATCACGGTGATAAAATCTGAAACAGTCCCAATAATGCTCCTCTTGAATATCAAAATAACTTAAAATATTTTATCCTCTAAATGAGGCGTCATCTTCTGAAAAAATATTAGTGATCCTTTATAAAAGTCCCATATCTGATAAGGCTTATCCAGAGACATACCTGAAAGAAAAGGCTTTTTAAAAAGTATTAACAATTTTTGCAAATAAAGACTTCCTCCTCTTCCTCCTTTCTAGCCTGTTCTTAGCAACAAATGCCTACCTCATTTCAATTGTATACATTGTATTATCAGAGTATTATCTAATCTAAACTGGTTATCACTGGTTATACTTTTTTCTGCATAAGGAAAGATCCCCATTTTCCTCTTGAAAAATGACTGAGACCAAGGTGACCATGTGAAATCCTCAATGAAGCCACAAACTAGTCCATGCAGCTTGATTTGAGGATTTTCTCTTTCTTCTTTACCGCAGGACAAACTTTTGACGAATCATATTCCTCCATCATGTTATTCTGATACATGTGCCTATTATCAGTCCAAAGAACGTTTCTAACCTTCCCACATCCCGGACTGGTTCTCGACGGGATGGACGTCCTCGTGATCGGGGCTGAGAATGCATTCTTCTCTTGTGACGCATTTTATGAATGACCTGATACAAGTCAATACTTTCATCGGGGGGAAACAGAAGACAAAGCTGGGTTCCACATTCAAGTTCAATTTCCTAGAATAGGAAAGTAGCAATTTATAAAACAAAAACAGACCCTTTCAACAGACTTGCATTTTCCTGATGTACCAGAACAAAAACTGACTTGGAAGCTTTCTTCCCAAGGCTGATGATCATATGGGATTCCAATAAGACTTCCAGATTTATAAAACATTTAAAAAGTGTTTTGTGTATTTATATAAAGGGTAAAAACTAAAAGTGTAGAATCTCTGAAGTTAAATACACAAATGCAGTTGCTTAAAATTCTGTGACAACCACCCTCTGAAAAGGGACTATTTCTTTGTGCAAAATAGAAAAATATCAGGACAAGGTCATTTAATACAATGGAAAAAAAAAATTCATGTTAGTGTGTGTACCAACAACTTTGATAATTATGATCTACTAAGTGTATTGAAATACATTAGATTTACCACAAAGGCAGACCAATCTATGGGCTCTTTAAAATTAAATCATTTTCAGCTATTTGTAATTGAAAAAGTGAAAACATTTTTACTCATGAGCAATAAAATGTCATATTACTTTTGCATGGCCAGGCATAGTGGCTCATGCCTGTAATTCCAGCACTTTGGGAGCCCCAGGCAGGCGGATCGCTTGAGGCCAGGAGTTTGAGACCAGCCTCGCAAAATGGTGAAACCCTGTCTCGACCGAAAATACAAAAATTAGCCACTCTCGTAACCTGGTTTCCAAAAAAATTAAAATTAAAAAATAAAATAAAACAAAACTTCTGGTTCAGAATTACATGTGAGAATTACAAGGGTCAAAGAAAGGTTTTGGTTAATTTTCAATTACTCCACATTTTCAGTTCCATTTGTAGACTTGAAAACCTGAGTACATATATTTAATCTTTTCAGAAAGCTGCTTTCTACTCAGAAAACTAGCACATATACTAAACGGCAATTCTAAAATGTATTACAGAAACTGAAGAATCTGTTAAACAGTGATAATATAGTCAAAACAAATTTAAATCTGGCAAATTCTCTTTAGAAATATTTCCTTCAATTGTATCAAATGAAAGTACCATATAAAGCTGCCTATATTTCAACATTAATGGATGTCTTATTAGTCTCAATCACAGTTATTATAAACTTCAGATAAGATTATTTTTTCAAATTCTCACGTGGTCTCTTTCATCAGAAACGGTTAAAACGAATACATCAATAAAGATCTCTAAAAGGGTTGATTAAATGTGTTTTTTTAAAGAATCAATTAAGGCCACAAACCTGTCCATCACGTCCGATCTTTACTGGTTTATGTTCATTCCAAGGATTGGTGAGATGAGCCGACTTAGTGAAGGGTAATTCACGCCTAAATACAAAGTAATATCAATTACATTCTTCTGCAGAATCCTTTAAGGACCTTATACTACTTTTAGTAGTGAATTCCTGTATTAACTGTGACTTAAATGTGACTAAATTTTAAAAACCACTTACAGTGGTTAATTCCCTATAGAAAGCCTCTTCAGAGACTTTTTCCATATTCTCCAGTTTTCTAAAAAAGAGCTTAAGAGCAAGGGCTTGAGAACCAAGATAACTTGGGGCTTAAACCCCAGCCTGCTCTCTTCTCTGAGCCTGAATCTATTTCTTTGATAAACAAGAATATCACCATCTACTTTATAGTTGTTTTACGCAGTTTGCAAATGAAATGACACAGAAAATATTTAGTATATCCCTTTCTTCTATGAACTCAAAAAACTTAAAAACTGACCAAAAAGAAGCTGGACCTTAACCCAGCTGTTAAAACCAAATGAAAATAGAAGTGTCCCTTATTCTCATTTGGAGGGTGCTTTCCCTGTTCAAGTGTACTTCCTCATTCAATATGGCAATACTCTTCACTACGCATAGAATGGCTTGAGTTGTACAATAGATAATTTATTTATAAATGCATATATTTATATTAATTATGCCCTTTACTGAAACTCAAGGGCAGTATCTATATAATTTAAATACTAAAAACCTGGTTTTAAGATCTCTAAGCCATGACAAAATGGTCTCACCAAACTTAAAAAGATATCCTCTATTTTTATAGTTCTTTGTCAACCTAGCACAATGTCACATGAATACAAAGATGACACATAACCAACAGTTGTTAGCTGCCAAGAAATAATTGTAAATTAACACTATTTGATAAGGTTTTATCTGCCTGTGCATAAAACAAATAATGCCAAAATAAATAAACACTTTAAAGAACTATTCACTGTACTTACAATACAAATGAAACTGTTCAGCCAAAGTACATACAAAGACGAGAAAGATAAGAGTTTGCATCCCTAACCTTTCTTCCATAGCCATCGAAGAAAAATAAGCACACACAATTTTCAAAGACAATGGGTACTATATGCACAATACAGAAGATTTTTTTTTTGTTTTTAATAGGAGTGGTTGTATCTATTTTGAAAGAAAGAAAAATAATCACAAAATGCTTCATGAAAGAAGTGGTACAAGAGTTAAGCTTGAAAGAAAACCCAGGTAAAGCCTTATGTAGAGAACTAAGGCAGGGATACATTTGAAACAAAGAGAAGGGCTAGAACACAGGCATAATGGAAAAGGGAAAACATAAGTAACTTTGCCCAGTGAACATGCCACATAACCTTACATGAATTTTCTTGAAAGTGAATATTGCCTGCTCAGACCTTTTTTTAAATTTAATTTTTTAGAGATTGGATCTATTTTGCCTTGGCTGATTGTGAATAAATGGGCTCAAGCAATCCTCTCACCTCAGCCTCCGAAAATGCTAGGATTACAGCTGTGAGCCACCACACCTGGCCTGAATGCTCAGATCTTATATAACTTGTTTTAAACCTCAGGAAAAACTTTGACATTTTCCAGGGAAATAGAAGTATTTTAGAGTTAAATTAACAAGGTGGTATATTCTGTGATGGAGGTGATATATATATACATGGAAGAGTGGTCAGTGAGTAATGAAAATATCCACTAAGTATCACTTAAAAGCTTGGTTTCTTTTTCTAATATACACCTTACTTCACCCATCAAGAGTGAGTCAAAAATACTGAATTTTTTTTCCCCCTTTTCAGGCTCTCAGAAGTAGAAAGACTAGAACAAGTCCACATCAAAGCTTGAATATCCAGAGGCAGAGATCTAGTTTTCTTTGTATTCTGTTGAATAATTTAAATTTTTCTTCTAATTGCCAGTTTAAAACAGTTATAGGAAAGGCATAAATGAAAACCTACAGCCACCAAAATATAAGAAGGTTATAAATTAATGGGATTATCACTGTTATTTAAATATCAGCAATTAAATACCCACGATCCAAGTAGAAGTAAAAGCATAGGCCAAGCTAAATGTATCATTTGGGGTTGAGATTCTTTGGTGGCACTGGTTCCAACTAGATTCAAGAGACATCTGTTCACTGTTTCAACACAGTTAATCTCAGCCAGAACATCACAGAAAACTGTGAAGCCTGAGGCAAAACAGGGCTCAGAATAAATTAAGAAAAATTGCAGGGTCTGTGATCCATGTAGCATCCTTATTTTATCCTTTCTTCTCAGATCACAATCATAGAACAAGCAACCTAACAGTTACCTTCTGAGCAGCTATGTTATGAAGCATACAGATACAACTTATCTTTACTGTGAGTTCTTTGAGAACATGTAAGGGACTCTCTGACCTAAGTGGTTCTGCAAATAGGGCAAATTTAACAAAGAATGTAAAACTGTGCACAGTTTTTTGTTTTGAGACACAGTCTCACTCTGTTACCCAGACTGGAGTGCAGCTGCATGATCTCGGCTTGCTGCAACCTCCGCCTCCTGAGTTCAAGGGATTCTCATGCCTCAGCCTCCCATGTAGCTGGGACTACAGGCATGCGCCACCACATCTGGCTAATTTTTGCATTTTTAGTAGAGACGGGGTTTCACCATGTTGGCCATGCTAGTCTCGAACTCCTGGCCTCAAGTGATGCACCCACCTCAGCCTCCCAAAGTGCTGGGATTACAGGCATGAACCACTGCGCCCAGCCATGCAGAGGCTCTTATATGCTGGACAGTGGTTTGTTGATTAAAGTTAAAAAGAAAAATGGAGGCCGGGCGCAGTGGCTCATGCCTGTAGTAATCCCAGCACTTTGGGAGGCTGAGGCGGGCGGATCACCTGAGGTCGGGAGTTCGAGACCAGCCTAACCAACATGGAGAAACCCCGTCTCTACTAAAAATAAAAAATTAGCCGGGCGTGGTGGCACATGCCTGTAATCCCAGCTACTAGGGAGGCTGAGGCAGAAGAATCGCTTGAACCCGGGAGGCGGAAGTTGTGGTGAGCCGAGATTGCGCCATTGCACTCTAGCCTGGGCAACAAGAGCGAAACTCCGTCTCAAAAGAAAAGAAAAGAAAAATGGAGAGACTCTAAATGAAAACAGAAATGGGTTGTTTGGAATGGACATGAAAGGAATATAACACCTAGTCAGTAAATGTAACTCTGGATGAATAGTATTTCATAGATCATGCCTTATTTTGAGCTAATTACAGGTGGCAACCTTAATAAGTCGCTTTTTATGCCTCCCTCTCTTTATCAGCTAAAACATGACACTTATCTGGTCCCAATCTTCCATGTGCCTACCAACTACCTGAACCATCAAGAATTTAACAGGTTTGAGGTGGGTTTCAAGATTCTGCATTTTAACAGTCAGATGCTACTGATGTAAGTGATCCAGGGATCACACCTAAAAAAGCTTAAGTCTAGTTATTATTATATCCAAAGGGTCCTTAAATATAAATCTAATAATTATTATATCTGCAAAAGAAAAAAATATTAACAGCAGTTACTGTTGATAGCAAAGTCCTGACCATTTCTATTTATTAAATTTAAATGTTCTGAGACTCAAATGTAATTCTCACTATATAGAGAGAATTTAAACTCAAGAGAGTTCAAGTGACTTATCTAAGGAAATATCAATGTTAGAAATATCACAAGCCCTCCAGAACTGTAAAGTATTGTAAAATTACACTTGAATAGAACTTGAGTATTAAAACATTAAAACTATAGTTTTATTATGTAAAAATACTATTTCTAGGTAAACCCATAAACTTACTTTAAAATAATAAAAGCACTTTACTGCCCACAATTTTACACCTCACGTTAGTAGGATAGACAAATTGAGTCTGTCTACCTCTTCGGTTGCTTGATACATTTCAAACAAATTAGTAGAATAGTCAATAAGTCAATGAAGAGGAATATGAAGAATGAATAATCCATGAAAAATTAAATTCATCTTAAAATTAAGAATTTCCTTATCAGTAATGTAAAAATGAAGGTTAACAGAACAAATAACATTTGAAACAAAATCTGCTGCAACCCACATAAAAATGGGCAATTATTTTCTCTCCTGTTCCCAAGAAAGCAACACCTGCAAATATGTTACATTACAACGTTTCCTCTGGCCTTTACAGAGCAGTCACATACACACACAAAATAAAAATAATCACTCCCTTTCCTACAAATTGTCACCAGATTTTCAACTTTAATTATAACTTAATTATAATTTTGATTTCAAAAAAACCAAGTTTATATTTTAAAACCCCTGGGGGCAACAGAGAGGAAGTGGGAGAAAGCACTAACAGTCTCACCACCTAACACTGCATTCCAATACCATAATTATGTATTTTTTCATTTGTTATACCTTTCCATGTTGATATGTGCACAATTACTTCCACATATATTTAAGAGACAAACTATAATTTAACTAATTTTCTATTTCAAAGAATTTAGATGATTTCCAACTCTTTCCCACAGAAAGTAATAATGGGATGAGTATTTTTTCTGCACATAGCTTTTTGCTACGCTATTATCAACCTAATACAGTTATGTGTCACTTAATGACAGGGATACACTCATTAGGTGATTTCATTGTGTGAACATCACAGAATGCACTTACACAAACCTAAATGGTATAGCCTACTACATACCTAGGATATATGGTATGACCTGTTTCTCCTAGCCTACAAATCTGCACAGCATGTTACTGTATTGAATAGTGTAGGTAAATGTAACACAATGGAAAATACTTGTGTATCTAAACATAGAAAAGGTATAGTAAAATATGGTATTATAGGTACCTCTTACGAGTCCTACAGTCTTATGGGACAAGATTCTTTGTTGATGGGTATGTCACTACACAGTAAGTGACTGTATGCTATTTGTAATATATCACTCCCTCTATCTTCACAGCTCCTCACTATCCTACAATAAACATTTAGGCTGACTCACATTCATTCATTCTTATCCATCTTTGCCCTCTGTTCTTCTCTTTTCCTAACCATCTCCTTCATAAAAAAAGGTAGCTCCCTATCCCACTCACACATCCATATGCCCTCCCACTGCTCCCCACAACCCTGCAACCCCATAGTTTGTTTCCATGCTCTTCTTGGCTTAGGCTGATTTCCATCATATGCATAGCATTTTTCTTCTTTTTCATCCGACCCCTTCAGGCTCATCAAGATCTAATACCCAAAAACAACTTAAAACTCACAAAGTAACCATCTCCTTTCAGACACTTTTTAACTAAAATTAATTTTACAGGTAATACATTTGTGTATGCCACGTAAAGATCACTTAAATAATGAGCTTCTTGTGTACAATACTTCAGTGTGCAGTAAGGACCTAAAAATAGTGACAACTCAGTGTTCAAAATAAGCCTGATTATTTTTCTAATAAATACAGTTAAATCTTAACTCAGTTTCAGAAGATCACAATGGCAACTAAACATCATTTGCTAACCTCCTTAAAAAATACTGTCCACGACTAAACTAGTTACCTCCGAAATTGTTAGCCAAGTCATAGTACTTATTTCCCATTCCTCAATAACTTAAGTGACATGTTAAATCACTAAAATTATACAGATACGCCAGACAACATTTCAAGCAACTGTCCAATTCATTTACTGCTTTATTACTAATATACAAAACAAATCAAATACATGTAACTTTAGACTAAATACGCCTTTGTTGTGTCCCACATTAGATAAAGGTAGTTACTGAACAAGGTAAGATAAGTATACAGTGACTTTTTCACTTTAACACATTATTCTAAACTGGTAGTGTATTCAAAATTTCAGTTATCTATACTGAAGTGTATAATTTACCTGCAAATCCAGTCAATTTTAAAGACACCTCCCAGCATTTTAGCACTCATTCCTGCTGGAAGCACCCAGTGTATAGGAGATCCTCCGTGATGTGATTCTGAAGAAAGTCTTGCAAACCCTAAGAGAATCATATCATAATATAATATGTAGATGCTAATATAATTAATGTTTTTATATGTCCAAATTATTTTTATTCTTACCTTGAAATTTTCCACTCTCTCTGACAGAAAATATTAAGATAACACTCCTTGCAGATCTAAATGCAAGATTTAATTTCTTCTCATTTACAGGGAGCGTGGACCATACACCCTACATAAATAACATAAAGACCACAAAGTGAAATTAACTACAACTCTTTTGTGTTTCCAGTTATGTTTGAAAAAAAACTACATATTTTGGTGTGCTTTCAATTTAAGTAAGCTATAATGAAGAAAGGTTTTATTTATCAGCTGTCAGAATAACGTAGTAATAATTTATAAAAACCTAAGGGAAAAAATGGAGACAATTACCAATTTTACAAAACCATTAAAGCAAGTAGTAAATAGATGGAGATGAGGTTCAAATCTAAGGGACTAGAATTCTATATAGTAAAACCAATCACTACAATTATTTTAATATTACAACCATTTACTGTGGTAAATACATCCTGTTTGAAGGTGAATCGCCACTTAGAAGTTAGTCTTCTTGCAAAACCGTACCTGATCAAATAATTTAAAATTACTCTATTAGTCAAGAATCTAGCATTTTTCTATTTAAGTTCGTTTTTTAAAGCAGTTTTTAAGTTCAAATTTTTATGTATCAATAGTTTGACTGAAGAGGCCTACGTTTTACCTACAGCTGGAAGATATTTGTTAATTTCTAAAGCATTTTAACCAATTCTTCATTCATAACAGATAAAAAGAAATGGAATAATAAGGCAGATGCTATCATTCAGCTCACACCATCTGCTCATACAAATGACATCTCATTCAAACTAAGTGCTTACAGTTGTTCCTCAGTCTCCACTGGGGACTGGTTCCAGGACCCATGCAGATACCAAAATCTGAGGATGCTCAAGTCCCTTATATAAAATGGCACAGTATTTGCGTATAACCCATGCATATACTCCCATATACTTTAAATCACCTCTAGAATACTTATACCTAATACAATGTAAATGCTATGTGAATAGTTGTTATACTGTGTTTAAGTTTGTATTTTCTGTTTTATTATTTCTCATTCCTTTTTCCCCTAATATTTCAATCCAGTTAGTTAAATCGAAAGATGAGGAACCCTGTGGATACCGAGGGCCAAGTGTACTTCTGCCTAAATCCACTTAAGCTAGAGAACAGAATAAGGCTATTTGGTGTACTGTTTCCTTCTGTTTGTAAAGTTTTAGGGGTAGTCCTTAAGGTAGAAATATAGAATACTGACAGAAATATCATTAGAGAAATGTCTAACTTTAGTTTTAAGTTTCTGAAAATCAGTTGAAACTGTAGTTACTCAGTTTAAACCAAGAATAGCAAAACACTGTAACAGCTAGTGTAACACAAAAATGTATTTTTGTAGCCAAACATAAAAAGAAAATTATTATCTTACAACATCCTACAGCAACTATGCATATCTTTTTTGCAAAGTCTGGAGTGGATCTTTAAGCTAATTCTTTTTCTTCTAAATCCCAATGATCTTAATTCTAAAAAATAAAACTCTCCATAAAAGAATGATTTCAAAAGAACCTCAAAGTGTAAATCAAGCATCAACATAAAACAAAAATTGGTTAACTACAGGTACTTTTAGAAGTGTTAGCACAATAAATGAGCCACTGAGGAAGTACAGAAACAAAAATCAACAGAAACAGGATCTTTTACAGCAAAAAGTTAAACTGTATAGCCTTCAACATTTAATATTCTGACCCCTAAAATCATCTTAAAAAAAAAAAAAGAAAACTCAAATTACAAGTAGGCTGACTGACTACAACCAGATCCTAAGTGGCCATTGGAATGTAGATCTTTAAAGCCGTAATGAAAATCATAATACCTATGCTACTTGATATAATACAAGTCTATTTTCCCATTTAAAAATTTTGATATTAGGATAGTTTCAACAGAACTGATGCTAATACCTTCGCTTTGGCAAGAGACACATTCTCATGGTTGTTACTCTTTATGAGGAAAAATCTTGCATCTTGAAGCACATATTTGAGTTTACTGGTTTGATCTGAAAAAAAAAGAAACCCAAATCGATTAACCACAAGCCATTATCACACAAAGGGGTCAAAACTGTACTAACTGAAATTAGCCCTCCACAACCCAGCTAAACTTTTAAAACGCAACAATCACCCATTCAACCTGGAAGGCTAAGCCACATGTAATAAAGCAAAGCTAAGAAAAGACAATCAGCATATTGCAAGAAAGTAAACCTAACCTAGTGATGTTCCGATATATCAAATCCATATTTAAGTATGAAAATGGTTACCAAGTTTTATAGATTTTCTTACTCAGATTCAAGAATAACAGACCATTATATACATACATATATATACACACACATCTATATATAACACATACACACATACACACACACACCCATCCCATTTTGTCCAAAAACTAAAATATCCTGAAATGTTTGGTATTATTCTAAAAAATATGCAGTAAGAAGCAGACACAGAGCTTTCTATGTTAAGATATTATTTTTTGCTTCATGTAATATATCGGAACATTACTACATTAAAAGCAGCTATTAATGGAGAACCAATAAGGAAAAATAATGACTATGCAGCATGCAATGAAAACAATTTCAAATTTAAATGATACCTTTTCGGACAGCACGAACGGAAGATGATAATTTCTCATGCTTCTTTTCTGAACCTGTATTTAGCCAAAGTACATTTGTTCAGATTGAGCTTTAATAGAGATAAGACAAAATTTCTACAGTCTTGTCACATAAAATTCTCATTCAAGACAAATTATTCTTCCTGGCGCACCCACACACACAAAAAAAACTTCTCAATGTGTACGAGTGTTTTGCTTTTTGGGTTGTTTGGATTTTTTTAAAAGTATGTATATTTGAACAGTTTCCCACTCAGAAAACTAGTCACTGAATCATCATCTTCCAAGAAAAAAAAAGTGAAAATTCCACTTAAGCAGTAACAGAACAGGATTAAAATAATAAGAAAAAGCTTAGTTTTCTCTAGAATTATTACACTGAACATGCCAAAAATCAGTGCTAATGGACATCAACAAGTTCACACTAAACTACAGCCTCCACACGCTTTCTAAAGCAGATTACATTAGAATCAAGTCAGATATGATCACAAAATGAGAATACCTGCATATGACTCTGATGCAGAGCTTCCACTTCTATCAAAAACAATTGGAGATATGCCTCTAGCTCTCTTCCTTTCCTTCTTTTTCTCATCTAAAAAGAACAAGAGTTTTTTTTTTAAATCACAATACAGAAACGAAGAGAAGTAATCAAACAAGAATGTATCATTACATGTCTAGTTTTTGCATAGCCCTTCTATTAGTCTGTGCTCCTCTCTCCTGATCCCTCAATTTCCTCAGAATGTTTTATTTTAAAAATACTGTTTAAAAAGTACGGGCATCTTGTTTCTTTCATCAGTTTCAATCAAATAAAAACACACGAAATAACTACAAAGTCAGGGCCTTAATTGCCATATATAGGTGGCCTTGAATACAGTTTTCCAAGCGGGGGGGGAAATTTGCAAAGCAAAAACAATTTCTTTCAAAACTGTGTCCTTTCTACACACCAGGTAACACTGTCTTAAGTCCTTATTTTTTTAAACTCCACTACCATTCTTCAGCACAATTACAATTCTGATTCTATCTTAAGAGATCTGATGAACCCCTGAACCCAAAGCTTTACAACTGGAAAAATATATATACCATAATTAGTGATTCCCTTCTGGTTGCCATTGCTTGTTTTTGTGTCTTCTATTTCATTCTCCTTAGCCATTTCCTCCCTGGATTACTGCTCTTATTTTCAAATTCAATTTAAAATTTATCCCTACAATTTTAATGGTAGCCTGTGTATTTCTGTAAGAGAGCTGAAAATCTTCAGTAAATAGAAAAGGTTTGGATTACCTGCCATGTAAGAACCAGTCCCAAGCTTAATTTGGAACTTTGTAAGCATATACATGAGGACTTGAAATGGAATTCAGCTCTCCTATCTGTTTATTTTTATCTTAGTTTTACCATGATAAGCTCCTTTTACTTTTCAGCTTAGAGATAAGGGAATAGGAAGAAAAAAATGCATATACTTATTTTTATATAAACAATGGAAAGCTGAAAAATAATAATCAGTGATCATGTATACAATAACCTACTATATAATGACAGCTATTTAAAAAGCTTTAACTACTTATCTCCTTTAATTCTCATAACAAGTTCACAAGATATTCTCATTACAGATGAAGAAACCTTGAATTAGACAGGCAGTTAGGCAACTAGACTAGGGTCCCACAGTTCCTGGATGGCAGAACCTAGACTCAAGGGCAGGTCCTCTGGCTTGAGCAAGTAGAAAGGATGTTTTATACTATTTTTGAAAGGTGATTACAGGTTTAACTAGTTTTGGGGGCTTTTTTCATTATTTCTTTCAAAAGTTCTGACATGTTTCTTCTAATTTTTCCCCCATGGATATTTCTTTCAGTAGTCTAAGCATTATGAATGCATCTGACTGAGTGTAATTTATCTCTTGTTGCTGTTAAAAAAGAATTATTTCATGGTCCAAAGTACTAAAAAGGGCCTGGTGCAGTTGCTCGTGCCTGTAATCCCAGCACTTTGGGAGGTCGAGGCAGGCGGATCACTTGACCTCAGGAGTTCGAGACCAGCCTGGGCAACATAGCAAGACCCTCTTTATATAAAGACAAAAACAATAATTAAAAAGTTACTAAAAAGATCTGAGATAATGCAGGGAAAATAACAGAAGCAGAAGATCCTACTCAATTGTTTTTATATAATGCTAAACCTAGCATTAGCATGAGAAATCTCCAAGGAATTTTCATCATTTTTGTATGAATAACTCCCAATGCTCTTAAGTTTATGGCCCTCTCCCCCAACTATTACTCTCAGGTCAAAAGAACAATGAAAATCATCTAATAAATAAACTGTTATCAATCAGTCTGTTGCTTTTATAAAGTTACCAAAAATTCTGAGAATAAGGTAAAATGAACTGGAATCTAGAAAATTCATGACAGAGAAACTCAACTGTGATCACTTTTATTTAAAAACTGACGTCTCTTAATCAAGAAGTTCCAAAATCACCCCATTACTCTTTCATAAACTATTGTATAAAAAAAAATTTCCTGCATATTAATATAGTACCTAAAGCATGTTCCACATAAGGGATTTTCCTTTATAAGGAAAATAAAACTTTCAGGTATCTCTTTTAGAATAAACCTAGTCTAGTAACAGAGTTTTGATATCAAGATTTATTATAAAACTACAGTTACCATTTAATTTGAAATGTCTTCTCCACAAAAACAAAGTGTGTCAATCAAGTTACCTTACTATGGTATCATCTAGGAGCCTGTTACAAATGCAATTTCTGGTCCTACCCATTTAAGTAAGTTCCCTTTGTTTAATGTAAACAATACAAACATTAAAGTCTAAGAAATAACAGAGATACCAAAAAGAAGATTCCTACAACAAAACGTTCCCTACCCAAGGGAGTGGTTTCATACATTCTCCACAATAAATGAACATTCAACACATACTGCTAATGAAATATTTATTATCTTAAATTATAAAAAATATATCCTATCAGTTTGTAAAAGGCATGATGGAAGCATAAAGATTTCATATGTTTTTACAACAAATCCAACTACTCATCTATTCTGTTTAACTCTACCTCCCTTGAAAAGCCTATCTTAACTCCCAAACCTAGAATTCTAGTGAACAAAAGGTTGAAAGCACTTCAGTTGCCAATCACTAGAAAATAACTGGCCATCTGCTCTACCTATACTGTATGTAGTATAGATATATACTATCCATATAGTATAAATATATAGTATAAAATATATAGTATAGATATATACTATCTGTATATAGTATAGGTAGAGCAGATGGCCAGTTATCTTCTAGTGATTGGCAACTGAAGTACTTTTCTATACTATATATACTATATATATAAAACAATGTACTATTATAAATGATCAAATTCTATAATAAACTGTAAATGTATTTCAAAAAAATAGGAATTTTCTTATGTTTAGTACATTTTGCTTATGTAGCAATCTGGTAGCATCTTTACATAAGACAGTCATGAGATTATAATCATCATATAGTGCTCTGTAAGTACCCTGACCTCTCCTTGCTGTACCCTCCCCCAAGAAAAGTTCCCCTAAGCCTAGTGCCTCCAACTACGTAACAGTCATACATTTTTGTCTCATAGGTATAGAGAGGCAGGATATATATAGCATTGAAGAAATGACTGAAGATGGTTCTTACCTGATTTTTCCACAAGAATTTTATTTATAGTCTTCATCTCCATCTTATACCTTACACCCCAGCCCTCTTGTCGACCCTGTCTCAGCCAGTCAACTGACAGACACAAAATTAGAAGAAAAGTCTGTGCTCCCAGAGATAAAAAAGAAATAATCTGTTTTGATTCTGAAGCCATATGATGGAAATCTAGGGGTATTTTACCAAGGAAATACTGTAATACCCAGTGGACAGGTTTCCTATGAATATACTTCAAGTACATCAGTGTTTAAATAAACTGCTGACTGGTATGAAAATCTAAGAATTTACAGAAATCTGAAATACATTTCCTTATACAGAATCAAATGGACTTGTGTTCATTTACAACACAACCATTCTGTAGCTAGGAAATGCCTTTCCTAAAATATGTAAATCTTATCCAAGATTATTCAAATGTATTTATAACATTCAAAAGCATATAAAGGATCACAAGACAATCCTATTAATATCCCCCATCTCCTCAACAATTTTATAATTTAAACATTTTCAAGACTGAAACCTATCAAGCTTTTTTTAAGACAAACTTTTACATATAAAAAGTAGTACCTGATCCATCTGTGCCTGAACCAGATCTGACAGACCCATCTGTGAAGGAAACAGATTCAGAACCAGAGTCACTGGCCTCACTTCGAGTGTCATAATCATTTCCCTCCTCTTTCTGGTCTCTCTCATCCTGTTCATATTCTTCTTCTTCCTCCTCCTCCTCCTCCTCTTCCTCCTCCTCCTCTTCCTCCTCCTCCTCTCCATCTTCATCCACCTCTTCATCTTCTTCTGCATCTTCTTCTACTTCTTCATCTTCCTCCACATCTTCTTCCACTCCTTCCTCCTCATTCTCAGTGTTGTTCCCTTGCTCATCAGAAGAACCACTGCTGCCAGTCTCATGGTCAGAGCCATATTCTTCAGAGTTCACTTCTTCCTTAGAAGACTGGCTGGATCTGCTTGCACGTCTATCCACTTCAAGCCCAATTCTCTGATGTTTAAAGAAAAAGGGAATCAGCAGTCATATAAAAGACAAGGTCAGGGTGAATAAACAGTTCTAAAGCCTCAAAAAGAATGGCTTTCTGTTTTATATCTGCAATAATATTTACTACCTCAGAACCATCTGGCGTAGGAGATTTGGCCCTCCTTTCAGGATCCCTTTTCCGGACACAGGTTTTTTCAGGTTGATTCTTATAAGGTTCTCTGGAGGCACTACTTGATAGACGAATTTTCCGATCAGCATCTAGACGCTTGTTTCTTTCAGATCTTTGATATTCCTCATTTTTATACTCTGTGGCTGACTTTCCTTTTGTACTAACTATTCTTTTGTTATTGCTAACAGATGAGCTCAGTGGCTTAGAAACCAGTTGTCTAGAATGGACAGAAGGCTTTTGTCGTTTGGTATCAGTAGATTCCATTCGATCACTTTTTCTTTTTGATCCTTTAAAATACAATGTAAAAAAAAAAAAAAGAAGTATTTGTAGTATTCCATTTATTTCACCAAAGACTGACAATAATATATACATCAGGAAGGGGGGATAGGCCTCATTTCTTTAAAAGTCTTCTGAGAGATTTCTTCTCCAGAGTTAATCTAAAAGAAAACATAGCTTTCAACTATGGGAATAAAACCATATATTTGAGAAGTTTCATATATTAGAAAAAAACAGATTATCCCTATTCATATGGATACCAGTTTATTATGTACATTTAGTGTTAACTGCCTCAAGGAACAAGCACAAAAAAGCACAGTCATTTTTTTTAAGAAATTGAATCTCCTCTATTTATACTGTTATTTCAACAAAAATAATAGAACTCTTACATACCCTTTTTCTCATTTTTATCTTGTTCACTCTCTGGATTATACAGTTCATCATCTTGTTCTGGTACTTCAGTTAAAATATCATCCAGAACATTAAGTTCTCCATCTGCAAATAAAATTAAAAATTAATAGGGAAAAATCACTATCATTGAACATGTATTTTTGAGTACTTACTAAGTGTGAGGCCACAAGCGCCTAGGAGCTTTTACTTTTATATAAAAAGCTTTACTTTTATTTCAGAATCAAGACACAAGATTAATTTCTATAAAACTAATACAGGGTAAAGAATTGGCCAGTCGTGGTGGCTCATGCCTGCAATCCCAGCACTTTGGGAGGCTGAGGCAGGCCAATCACGTGACGCCAGGAGTTTGAGACCAGCCTGGCCAACATGGCAAAACCCTGCTCTGCTAAAAATACAAAAATTAGCAGGGCATGGTGGCACATGCCTTTAACCCCAGCTACTCAGAAGGCTCAGGGACAAGAATCACTTGAACCTGGGAAGCAGAGGTTGCAGTAAGCCAAGATTGTGCCACTGCATTCCAGCCTGGGCGATAAGAGTGAGTTTCTCAAAATACACACACACACACAAACAGAAGTCTGGGCTATCTGGTCTACAAAGCCAGGAGTATACATCTCAGAAGGCATGAAAAGATATACTGAGGCATAAAAAGAAAATGCAAGAATGTCTCTATTTTTACCTCATTCTTTAATTTCTAATATTTCTGAGGGCTTTAAAATGTGTACAATAAATTAGTATACAAATACGTATGTACAACTTATAAATACACATTTACCAAAAATGTGCACTCTCCACAATTACAAAGGGAAAACGACTTTACAGTGGAGAAATGTTTCACAGGCCAAATTAACCAGATAATCAAAGTTAACATCACCAGTAATGAGACAAATCAACATCATGGACCTCCTGTAACAATGCTCTGAGAATAGAACAATGCTTTTGTAATGTTCTATGCAAAATGGAAAAGCTGAACCTACATGAGGAAAAAAATCAGACAAACCCAAATTAAAGGGCATCCAAATATGTCACTGTCATGAAACAAAGAGTAAGAACTATTTCATATCAAAGCAGACCTAGAGAGGCATGATAACTGAACACAGCCCACAATATTGGACATAATTGGAAAAACTGGTGAAATCTGAATAAAGTTTGTAAATCAGAGTAAGTAGCAATGTTATTTTTCTAATTTTGACTGTACTATGGTTAAGTCAAAGTCCTTATAACACATATTTAAGTATTTAGGGACAAAGATATATTATGTCTACAACTTACAAATGGTTCAGGAAAAAAGTGTGCACACATGCACGTACACACACAGACACACAGAATGAGACAAATGTGACAAAATGCTAACATCTGCAGAATGTGTTTGGAGAGTAAAAGAAAATTCTTCACACTGCACTTGTAGCTATTATGCTTATCTGAAATTATGTCAAACTGCAAGTTAAATGAAAAAATTATCAATGTGCTATATAATAAAAAAAACATTTAGAGCCTGCTGGTGTGGACTGTAAAAGCACAAAACTTGTTCAGAGAAGGGAACTATGACTTTATTCAATGATCATGAAAGCATAAAACTCAGTTTTGTCCCCACTTCTACCTTGTCCAACAAGATAAACCTTAGAAATACACACAAATACCATTTTAAATTTTAAAATGTACTAATGCTAATAGTAAATGTTTAAACATTAACTATTCCAATATCAAAAACATCTTTCCAAATTTAAGGTGTGCCAAAGAGGAAGTATAAAGCCATGAAAACTGATGAGACAGAACAATTACATTTGTGGCTTCAGGAAAAAAACAAAGCCCACATGAATTACAGAAAGGTCTATTAATTAACCTGGGGGCTATAAACAGGTTAAATGGGATTCAAATTTTCCCCAAAGTGGGAAAGAAATCTGTGACTGAAGAGAATAGTTAATACAAACGATAAGGTTACATAGGAAATGGAAAAGATATCATTTTCCTTTACATTTGGAAACAGACACAATCTAAAGATATCTGAAAATTACTATGTCTGGAATAGCAAAATTGATCATTTTGGGTGGTACCAATGCTGATATGTACTTTCTATCATTTTTCTAAAATGAAAACAGGCTATATGGGTTTTTATTTTTGTTTACTTTTAAAAAATCTTATTTAAAATCAAGATATGTCAAACAAAAAAGCTTCTCTCATCATCTAGATTCATGTTTTTGCTAAGAAAAATTTCTTCAAGATCTGAATGGTGGCAAACACCATTTTCGGACTCTAAATTATAAAAAAAATAGTCTGATAGAAGTAAATCAATGTTTTACAGATGTTTAATAAGTACTGGGTCAAAGCTCACTAATCAGTAAAAAAGTAGATCCAACAGGTCTTCACAGAATCAAATACATTTGTAGAAGACAAAAAGAAAAAATTTCAAGACTATCACAATGAAACAGGCAAATAATGCTATACAAATCTTTTCATAAAATCACTAGATCTTATTCAGAAATATCATCCCCGAACCCTGAACATTTATATTATATACTTTAGACATGCTAAATTTAATACAGAATGAAATAATTTTGCAGAATGTTAATTTAAATAAATTTAAGTTTCAAACACACTTAAAGCCTGGTTTTCCTATAAAAAGGGGTATTACTGTTTTAAAGTTTTAACGAATTCAAATTCAGATACTGGTTGTAGTTTTAGAAAGCACCTACAACCTTTTTCAAGACAACAAATATTAACCAATGCTTACTACTTTTTAAAAATACTTTGTCACTTTTAAAATTTTATCACTTTTAAAATATATCATATATACAAATCATATAAAATAGAGCATGTTTAATCATTCATTACTTTGCAGATAAAGAAAGAGAAGCTCAAATGTTCCAGTTGACCAAATACACTTGTCTAGTAACAAATGGATATTAGTATGAAGTTCCGGCTTTAGAAATTGACAGTTAAATCAGATGGGGAACAATAAAAGCAACTTTAACCAAAGTATAAAGAACACAAATGCAAAATATTAAAAGGGCATATATACTAGAACATAAATTTCAAATTAGTGCACCAGAAAGCTCTATATCTTTAACATTACAACATTTAAAATCTACTGAAATATTCAAAATCAACTATAACACCCTCACTTAAATGATGTACACACTTTTATCCGTATTATAGTCCATAACATCAATAAACTGTGTGGTTTTACCACAAACTGGCAAACTAAAACCTACAGGATAAACATGGCCCATTGCCTATTTAGAATGGCCTGCAAGAATGGTTTTTACGTTTTTAAGGCGCTTATTAACAAGAAAAAAAAAAAAGCAAAGAATATGTCAGAGAACACTTACAGCCCACAAAGTCTATTTGGCCCTTTACAAAGAGTTTTGCCAACCCCTGATATAATACAAATGACCAAATTTTAAGTACTTTTCTCCATCACTGAAACTCCTTATATATACACTGGAATATAATATACAAGGGGAAAAGTCTTGGAGGTTAAGGAAATGCAGGTTATAGCTTGCATTTAGGTATCAGGAAATTCCCAGTCTTTCTGAGTTCAAGATTCTTCACCTCTGATAAGAGGCACTTAAAAAAGGTCAGTTTTGGGGAAAGGAAAAGCAGGACATTTGAATCTTCTATGAGTTTTTCAACCTGTAAGAAGACTCTCCTTCCTTATAACTATTGGACTTTAATAAAACCTGCCTGCCCCAACCCTCTTGCTAATGACTGGGCTATGTGATATATATAAAATCTGGTCCAGAACACAAAACAAAATTCCTTCTTCAACAAAACAGGTATGGTATATGCATACATGTTCTGATTATCTACTGCTGTATAAGATGATCACCCTAAAACTTGACTTAAAATGGTAACACCTTTCATTATGGCTCATGGTTCCAGGGCTCAACCGGGGTCTCCCATGTGGCTGCAGTCAAATGGGGCTGGGGCTGGGGCTGAAATCATCTGAAGGCTTGTTCATTGACAAGTCTCGTTGATGTCTAGGCTGGGAAGATTCAAAGCTGGAGCTTCTCCAACATTTCTGTGTGTGTGATTACTCATTACTATGGCAACCACCGAGTAGGCAGATCTTTTACATGGTAGTTTAGGACTCTCGTGTCCCAACAGAGACGGGAACAGGTAGAAATCCAGCAACACCATCACAGTATTTATTCATCACAAAAGCTTACCTAGCTTCAAACAGAGGGGACACATATTCCAATCACTGTTGACAGAAGTGTCATACATAATACATGACAGATGTTTCCAAAATTACTATAGTTTTATTTAAGGGTAAATATTTTAATTATATACTTGAGGTGCATTTTTAATAACAAAAATTCATTTAAATAGGTCAATGTTAAAGCTTATAGTATTAAGTTATAAAGCTAATGTAAACTGCTGCTTCTGGCCATATTCTTCACTGACTTGAAAAAGTACACTTTGCATACATTTTAATTCATTTTTTTAACGTAGAATGAATTATAAAAGAAGAAACATTTTAATACTCTCACAAGCTACTGCTGTTAAAGACTATAATCATCACTGGCATATCCTTTTTGAAAAGAAATAATTATCTCTTTTAGATATAAAGTAATATCCACTAGTTCTAGGTTGACTTTCTTTTAACCTACCTGAACAAACGTTTTTAACCATTTCCTTTGTCCTGAAATTTAACATTATTGATATTCTATATAGAGATATGTATACTTTCAATTACTTCATAATAGTTTGACAGTAGTATCCCAACCCAAGAATAACAACAGTAAACAAAGATTAGAAATGCCAGGTTAAGAAAAGGCCTATAAGCATACAATTCATGCACTACAAAAATCCTAATTTCTATGACATAAAGCACTTCACATTGAAAGCCTTTTTTAGATGTCTATATAGAGAACTATAGACATTAAAAATCACTTTTTTTTTAATTTGTTTTTTTGGAGACAGAGTCTCTCTCTGTCACCCAGGCTGGAGTGCAGTGGCGCAATCTGGGATCACTGCAACCTCCACTTCCCAGGTTCAAGTGATTCTCCTGCCTCAGCCTCCCGAGTAGCTAGGATTACAGAGGCCCGCCACACCATGCCCAGCTAATTTTTGTTATTTTTAGTAGAGACAGGGTTTCACCATGTTGTCCAGGCTGTTCTCGAACTCCTGACCTCAGGTGATCCACCTGCCTTGGCCTCCCAAAGTCTTGGGATTATAGGCATGAGCCACCGTGCCCGGCCTTAAAAAATCACTTAAAATCTTTAAAAAAAAAAAAAAAAAAATTTTTTTTTTTTTTGAGACAGTCTCACTGTTGCCGAGGCTGGAGTGCAGTGACATGATCTCAACTCACTGCAACCTCCGCCTCTGAGGTTCAAGCAATTCTCCCTGCCTCAGCCTCCCAAGTAGCTGGGATTACAGGCACCTGCCACCACGCCGAGCTAAATTTTTATATTTTTAGTAGAGAAGTGGTTTTGCCATGTTGGCCATGCTGGTCTTGAACTCCTGACCTCAGGTTAAAATCTATAAAATTTTGTTCCAAAATTAAGATGTCACAAAAAGATGGATTTTTTTATAATGTGCCAGTTCAAGAAATAAGCTTAATGAAACAATCCTACATTAAACAGTATTTACATTTAGAGCTAAAATTCAAATCTATCTAAAAGTTTTACACTAGCAGTCTAGAGGATAAACTCAGCTCTTGAATGCTGTTTTTAAAAATTCTAAGGATTTAATATGAAAACCCACTTAAAAAAATACTATTTGATTATTAGGGGCCCAGATTCTCACCTGAAAACAACCAGCTGGAAGAGTCTAGTCTTCTGTTAAGACACAGAGAAGGTAACATATGTCAAAGTTTTGCATGAGACAATCTGGGTTTGTATCTGGTGAATGAGTTTGTATCTGGTGAATCAGTATTACTACCTGAACAAAGAGCATGCTGGCTCTTAAAAAAAAAAAAAAACAAACTCATGATACCTAACGTATTAAGCAAGTACTTTATCTTTATCTGCCAGATTCTGGCATGCACACACATCTGCAACCCCTGCATAACACTGATCTTAAACTTGAAAAAACCCAAGGCTCAGTTTAATACACTAAGGCACAGGAACATCAAACTAGTTTTAGTATACCGTATATAATACTTTGGGAAAGAGGAGGAAAGCTAAAGGGGACAATCCTACTCAACTCCAGAAGATTAACTTCCTTGACAGTTGCAAGCACTGTGTTGTCAGATCTTCCACATTTTCAAGAGGACTCTGAAACCCAGATTTTTATTTGGAATTGCATGACTCTTCAGTGCTGCCTCAATTAAAAATGAAACAGCTGGCTGATAGATTCCACAGTTGGCTGCTAGATTCCTCCGTGAAAGTATAATCACGTGTGAATGTTTTGTATTAATATTATACACAAACTAATAGCAAAATGAGTTTTGAGGTAAAGGTACAGATTCCCAGGATACAGGAAGTAAACAAGGATATAAAAAGAGTAACAGGTCGGGCATGGTGGTTCACACTTGTAATCCCAGCATTTTGGGAGGCCAAAGCAGGCATATAGCTTGAGCTCAGGAGCTTGAAATCTGCTTGGGCAACATGATGAAACCCCATCTCTACAAAAAACACAAAAATTAGTGGTGTGCACCGCACCTGTAGTCTCAGCTACTTAGGAAGCTGAAGTGGGAGAATCACCAGAGTCTGGGAGGTCGCGGCTGCAGTGAGCCCTGATCGCACTACTGCACTTCAGCCTGGGCAACAGAGTAAGACCCTGTCTCCCCGCCAACAACAAAAAAAATCATTATTTTTAAGGCCTGTTCAAAAACTGACAAGATGTTAGAAATAACAAAGCTAGCTGTTTGTTGCTTGGCTGGGGGATTTTTGTTTTAGGTAAACATGGGAACTTAAAATTTACCATAATCTTTACATTCTTGGCCAGGAAGGTCACAAACTTTAACTCTAGGGATATCAGGGTAGAAAATTAACCTTTATCTGGGACAGTCATTTTTTACTGCAGAAGCTTCTGGGTCAGAAGACAGTGCTATTTATTAACATGTGAGGTTCCAGCATCAGACTAAGATTTAGTATTTAAGGAAAGTTAAATACTAAATATACTACACATTTTGTTTTCTAACACAAGGTACCAAAATAAATTATATTTTAATTCATTTAATATAATTTTAGTGGGACTTGGCAATGGAGCAAGATTACTAGAACCTCCCCCTTCTATTGTCTTGTAATGTACGTTGTACATTTAGACCAGTTTCTCAGTTTTTGTCATTGAAAATCGTCATTCCTCCAAATGAAGTTTAAAAACTTGGATTTCCCATCCAAAACCGCTCTTATAAAAACATACAATTTAAGTGCAAAGATATCATTTTAAATTTTCTACCTTACTTATACTATAGGTAAAATAAATATATTGGAGTATCAATATGTACTCTATGCCTTACAGAGCCCAAACTAAAGTGAACCAAGACAGGCAATTTTATCCTAAGAAATTACTATAGTGAGGGCCATAGTATATACACATAGTATATACAAATGTTGTGGCACAGTCATCATTTTGATGTTCAGATACACAAATATTTCCCATTGTGTTACTACTGCCTACAGTAGCACGCCCAACAGATCTGTTGCCTAGGGACAATAGACTATACCATACAGCCTAGATATGTAGTAGGTTATGCCACCTAAGTTTGTGTAAACACACTATGATAACACAACAAAACCGCCTAACAATGCCCATCTTCATTGTTAAATGACACGACTGTGTTTGTGTGCACGTGACTGTGTGCATGTGTGTGCACATGACTGTGTGTGTACATATATATATATATATATATATACACACACACCTGCATGTAACCGTCTGTATAACGGCTGGGCACGGTGGCTCACACCTGTAATTCCAGCACTTTGGGAGGCTAAGGCAGGCAGACTGCTTAAGCCCGGGAGTTCAAGACAATCCTGGGCAACATAGGAAGACCTCGTCTCTACTAAAAATAAAAAATTAGCTGGGCATGGTGGCACACACCTGTAGTCCCAGCTACTAGGGAGCCCTTGGGAGGTTGGGGATGCAGTGAGCCGTGACTGCTCCACTGCACTCCAGCCTAGGCGACAGAAGCCGTCTGAAAACAACTGTGTGTATATATACAGTAGTCCCTCACTTATCCAAGGTTTTGCTTTTGAGGGTTTGTTACCCCCAGTCAACTGAGTCAATCACTGTCCAAAGATATAAAAATGGAGAATTCCAGAAATAATTCATAAGTTTTAAATTGTGCGCTAAGTAGTGTGATGAAATTACGCACTGTCCCACTCTGTCCTGCCTGGAAAATGAATCATCCCTTTGGTCAACAAATATTTGCATTGCATATGTTACCTGCCATTAGTCATTTAGTAACTGTCTCGGGTAGTAGATCAACTGTCCACATATGGCAGTGTCAGTGTTCAAAGTAACTCTTATTTTACTTAATAATAGCCCCAAAGCACAAGAGTAGTGATGATGGCATACTGTAATGACTGTTCTACTTTATTATTGTTGTGGTTGATCTCTTACAGTCCCTGACTTATAAATTAAACTTCATCATAGGTATATACATATAGAAAAAAACATAGTATAGATAGGATATAGTAATATCCATTGTTTCAGGTATCCACTGTGGATCTTAGAACGTATTTACCAGGAAAATAAGGCTGGTAGAGGTTGGGGGTCAGGGGAGAACTGTTGTATAACTTAAACTGAGAAACTCTTAGCTTTCGTTATCATACTGCACATGTCATTTAACCAGTCAGTCAATGAAGTCCAACCTGGTAAATACTCAAGGTACTGAAACACAATTACTGTATACAAAGAACCCAGTGAACAAGACAGATGTACTCCGGGCACTCAGGGAGCTTCTAGTCTGGTAATCTAGAAAACACGTTATTTTTAACACAGTAACTCATTACACATTACTCATACACATTTTGGATAGATTAAACTTTTGTAACTGTTCTTTGTAGAGAACTTTGTAAAAGATTAATACAATTTATACAAGGTGTTTGCAATAATAGAAAAGATGCATATTTCCTCCTTATATAGAAAAATGGCATTTAATATTAGTTAACACCAACATTGCAACACCTTTCAAATCCAGTTTCTTGGGCAAATTATCACCACAGGAATCACAGGGAGCTAGCAATCTGTCCACTTATATGGGCTGCAGCTTCTAGGTATGAGTATTATTGAAGCATTGTTATAGATTATAGAAATTCATGTCTTTATTACCCAGATAAGTGCAAAACCCCATCAAGAACTCTATGAACAAGGGTCTTTACTGTTCTGTGATTAATATAATTGCCAATTTCTGCAACTTATAGACTCATTTGCTATCAAGATCTTAAACCATTTATGGAATCATTTGAGAAAGAACTTAACGTTTGTGACATGACTGAGATTTTTAGAGGGTTTATCCTTATAATTTCCTGTTTCATGTAAGACAATAAAGCGCTTAAGAGTCCCACTTTTCCTTAAGAGAGGAAGACCTAAGTATTGATTCTAACTATAAAGCTAAGTGTGTGATGATGATCATCAAGTAAATGATACAACCTGTAGGTTACCTAGAACTCTCCCAAAACGAAATAAACAATTCCAGTAGGTAAGTGCTAGTTCTCCGTGTAGTCCAGAAACAATCTTTGTTCTAAACTATAAAGATAAAGCACTTACATCAAGTTTTTAAATAAAGTTATGAAAATTAAATAAAAAAAACTAAGCAAATGTGAGGCAAAGAACCTTTTCAAAAGTGGGGAAATGTATCCTATGTATAGACAACAGGTGATATCACTACTTCCCAGTAATAGCTACACAGTTTATGTATTTGGACTGCATTATCATCACTAAATCATTTCTAAAGCAAAACTTTTAAAATCATCTACTTTTCTTCTTCAATGTGCATTACTGCGTCTACTCTATTAACGACTTGTAAATATTTTCATCTTAGACAACGAATTCTTGAGAAGTACTGAATTTTACTCATTTTTGTGTTTGGTTCATTTCGCCCACCACAACCACTACAGACTCCCATATCCACAGTTCATAAATTAGAAAGACAATCAGATGTTTGCTGAATACTTACTAATTAAGATCATGTATTTTAATAACTGAGTTAACTAATTAAAAGCATTTTCCTTTACTCACTAACACCATACAATCCTATGTTCCCATTACTTCTGGATTTCTCAAAAAAAAAAAAAAAAAAGGCCCAGGGAGATTTTTTAGCATTTAGTTTAAGGATGGAACATTAAACTGCTATAACCTAATCAAAGAACTACTTTAGGATAAGGGCAGTATCTTAAAAGTATTCCCACCCATTCCACTTTCCCAGCTTGTCCCTAACCTAGGGCAGTTCATTGAAGCATGAAGACTCTCCTGATGCAGAAACCAGAAAAATTAAGAAAAAAGGATTACACGCCTAATGTAACTTGACTCTAGAGCCCACTTAACAACCCCCGACAAAAAAACCCCAAATCAATTAGGCACACAGAAGAGATGTGTGAGACACAGAGCAGCGACCGTGTCATATTTTTAACTATAATCTTTCCAAGACTATTATGTTAATCTTAGGGTTGAAAAAGATCTTAAAGCAGCATTTAATCTAGACCACTCTCCAGAGAGACACTGATCTAGGACCTACATTAATATCTCTAGGGCTTGGGAACTTAGTATTACTATCTTTCCATTACAGCAACGTCAGTTCTCTCTACATTTCACTGAAATTTATCCCTCCAACTCTCTGTAACTTGCATTCATTTGTTTCTGACTGTACCCTCTGGGAGCTACACACGGTTTTTCTAACATAATAGCACCCAGGATTTCTTTGCCAGCCTAAGTCACACAGTCATCTTTCCAAACTAAGTATTCCTTTTTCCAAGTACTATGTTTTTCCAAAATAAGTATTCGAGGAACAAAACGGGTAATTCACTTTGCCTATTTAACAGGAACAGCCAGAAGTTATTTGCAGATATTTCTCAAGATTAATAACCTGCCAGTGCCACTTCCTAAACTTGCTCACTTACCACACCACCAGTGTTGATCGCGGCATTAGGGGTTTTCAAATTTTAGCCTAACAGAAATGGTTGTCCTGAAAATACGCGTTACATCCGCATGATCCTACCAGGAAATAAACCTAGGAGCTTGCAACTCAGAAAGGGCCCCTCTCAGCCCAAGACAGCTAAACGGAAAGTCAAGCGTGAAATCCGCATCAAAGAAAAACCCTACTGAGATGAAGTGCTAGGCCATATGGAGACTGAGGACGAAAGGGCAGGCCTGGTCTCCGCCAGAGTCTAAGTGTCTCGGTGGGGGCCACCGGCTCCTCGCGAGGCCAGCTAACCTCCCCAACCCCCACCCCCCACCCCCAACGACGACCACTGCTCCATCACCCCACTCCCGGGCCCCAGCCTCGCCTCGGCCCGTCATCTTTCTCCGCACTAACCTTTCTCCTCCCGACTGTCAGCCGCCATGGCTCCCCTTCGGTTTCCGCCGCTGCCACCGCCGCCGCCGCTTAGACGCGACTCGCGCGGGCGCCGCAGCCGCGGCAGAAGCACGGGCCCGTCCGTCAGTCCGTCTGCCCGGATACGCGCGTCGCACTTGGCCTCTTAACACTCAGCCTTCTCGACTCTTCCCGCTTTTTCCCTTTCTCCCTTCCTTTCACTCCAGCATCCAGCGGCCTAGGCCCAGCCTTCTCGTTAGGGCTCAGACTCGGGCTAGGTATGGGGGAGGGAAGGGAAACAGATGGCGACGGCGGGCGGCGCTAAAATGGAGCCTGCTTCCTGCGCGAAACAATCCCGCTCCCGAAATGCCCTGCGCTGTTTACGCTTCGTTCCTCTCTGGGAACGTCACAGTGCGGAGAGGGGCGGGGAGGCGGGGACGTGCAAAGGAACGTGACGTGACGTCAGCGCGTCGCCCTGCCGCCCTCAGCCCACTGGTACCTGGAAGGAGTCTTATTCAGGGATTAGGTTACCCAGGTTGTTCATGGAGTTCCCGCTGTACGGCCTATAACTGGATGGCGCAATTTTCCCACCTGAAACTCTTAGTGCAGGGCCTAACAGGCCTTCTTAGCTAGAGTCGCTCTAAAGGACTCCTGATTCAGTTCGGGTAATCGGAGTCTTATTTAGGACAAGTCTGGGTGAATCCCTTATGTTTACCAGATGTACTTTCTTAGTTGGAGTTCCACTCTTACCCAAAGGCAGTGCAGCATGCAACCAGCTTGTTTGTAGTCACAAAAGCCTGCTAGTTTTTGTTTGTTTTGAGACGGAGTCTCGCTCTGTCGCTAGGTTGGAGTGCAGCAGCGCGATCTCGGCTCACCGCAACCTCCGCCTCCCAGGTTCAAGCGATTCTCCTGGCTCTGCCTCCTGAGTAGCTGGGACTACAGGCGCCCGCCACCACGCCCAGTTAATTTTTTTATTTTTAGTAGAGACGGGATTTCACCATGTTGGCCAGGATGAAGTGCTGGGATTACAGGCGTGAGCTACCACGCCCGGCCTAGTTTTGTTTTTAATTGGGGAAAGAATTGTATCATAATAGGTCTTTGTAATTAATAACTAATTTAAACATGTTATCAAGGCCCTGGGGCACAAAATTGATTTAAGCAGACCATCGAGGAATCGAAACTACAGAATAAATGACCAGTAGATACATAACTACATAGTGTGGTAAAATCTGCAAGAGAAACTTGCTTAAGATTCATTGTCCAACGGAAACAATCTAATTTTGCTTCCTTGAACTATAACTGAGTTATAAGGGAAAGAAAAATCTGAAAAAGGTAACTAAGTAACTTCGTGATATGAAGACAAACTGGCAAACTAACTGCATATTCAGGGAAAGACAAGTAGTCTAGAAGTCTAGAATGTGGTACCTCTTTTTTTTTGAGACGTGGTCTCACTGTGACACAGGCTGGAGTGCAGTGGTGTGATCATGGCTCACTGCAACCTTGGGCTCAAGTGATCCTCCCACCTTAACCTCCCAGGTAGCTGGAACTACAGGCATGCTCCACCACATCCGACACATTTTTTGCATTTTTTGTGGAGATATACCATCTCCGCAAGATGGCTAACACCTAGCCATCTTGCCCAGGCTAGTGTCTAAATCCTGGGCTCCAGCAATCCTCCCACCTCGGCCTCCCAAAGTGCGGGATTACAGGTGTGAAGCCACCAGGAGTGGCCCCATTTCTAGGACCTTAATTGAACACTAATTTGAATATACGAACACGCACACGCCACAAACACACACACACACACACATTAAATAATATCTGATGATCCTGAGGAATTGCTATTTGTATTTTTAGTTTTAATAAGTTTTGCTTTTTAAAGAATTTCTTATAATTTCATGATTCATATGAAAATATTTGCAGGCCAGATGCAGTGGCTCATACCTGTAATCCCAGCACTTCGGGAGGCCCAGGCGGGCGGATCACCTGTGGTCAGGAGTTTGAGACCAGCCTGACCAATATGGTGAAACCCCGTCTCTGCTAAAAATACAAAAATTAGCCAGGCATGATGGCATGCGCCTGTAGTCCCAGCTACTCGGGAGGCTAAGGCAGAATTGCTTGAACCCGGGAGGCGGAGGTTGCAGTGAGCTGAGATTGTGCCACTTTCACCCCAACCAGGACAACAGAGCTAGACTCTGTCTCAAAATAATAATAAGAATAGTAATAAATATTTGCAAATGAAATTATATGGTATCTGGGATTTATCAAACTGGTGGCAGGTGTAGCGAAATGGGTAGGAGAATAGATTAAACAAGTCTACCCATGAGTTAACAATTGTTGAAGCTGGGCGATACATATGTGAAAGGAAAATCTCCCCAACATCACTAAGCCAAAGGAAGAAGTCAAGCTGGTGATTGATGTCTCATGTATCCCTAAAATGTATAAAATGAAGCTGTGCACGACCACCTTGGGCACATGTCATCAGGACAGCTTGAGGCTGTCATGGGCTCTTTCTTAACCTTGGCAAAATAAACTTTCTAAATTGATTGAGACCTGCCTCAGATACCTTTTGATTTCCACATACATTAGTTAATATTATACTCTCTTCTCTACTTTTTTGCATATTTGAGTTTCCTTTAATAATTTTTTGTAAAGAAGAGCATAAGAAAACAGCCAAGTAATTTAGAAGATATCAAAATGCCATTTTCCCTGATTCTACATTTGTCCTATTAGAACTAAGGAGTAATTTTTAATGTAAATAGAATTCCATATTTGCATCTTTGTTATTAAAATAAGTTTATGGGGCCAGCTGCAGTGGCACATGCCTGTAATTCCAGCCCTTTGGGAGGCCAAGGCAGGTGGATCACTTGGGCTCAGGAGTTTTAAGACCAGCTTGGGCAACCTGGCGAAACCACATCTCTGCAGAAAATAAAATAAAAAATAGCTGGTCATGGTGGTGCACACCTGTAGTCCCAACTTCTCTGGGGGCCAAAGTGGGAGGATTGCTTGAGCCGGCGAGGTCAAGGCTGCAGTGAGACATGATTACGCCTCTGCACTCCAGCCTGGGCAACAGAGCTGGACCCTGTCTCAAAAAATAAAATGAAGTAAGTTTATGTTAAACTAAGAGCACAGCTGTAAAAAAATGCGGTTTTTAATTCAGTCATGTTAGTAAATAGGAAAAGTTGTTGAGGTTATAAAGGATGAACTCTAGGTATGTTGAACATTGGTCTGAAGCTATTGTGTAGTGATTAAGAGAGTAAGCTTTGCAGTCATAATGACGTGGGTACAAATTCCAGCTCTGTCTCTCAATAGCATGAGACCTTAGAGAAATTAACTTCTAATCTTTAGTATCTTAATAAATGGGAATTTAGAAATAATTTCCAAAGGATTGCTATAATGTTTCAAATGATTTTTTTAAAGGCAGTTAAGTGATCAATAAGCTGGAGCTATTGTTATTTTTATTGTTTCTGTAGTTCAGGAAAGATGGATTGTTCTAACAATTATTGTTGGTGAACTTAACCAGAAAATGTAGTATTGAGTGACTCAGATTTTTGGCCTAGCTATGGGTGGAAATAACTTTCTGGGTAAAGATGCTGAACTAAAAACTTGCAGCCAAAAATCCTCTTCAGACCTCAGGGATCATCACAATATAATTGTAAAAATATAACAATGAACATGGAAGTACAGATATCTCTTTTGAGAGCCTGATTTCAATTGTTTTGGATATATACACAGAAATAGAATTGCTGGATCATATGGTAGTTCTATATTTGAGGAACTTCCATACTCTTTTTTTTTTTTATATAGTCGCTGCACCGTTTTACATTCCTGCTATGGTGTATAAGTATTCCAATTTCTCCGTATCCTTGCCAAAACCTGGTATCTTTTGAAACAACTTATACGTCTGTTGAAAGATGAATGGGTTAAAAAACATATGGTTTATACATTCAATTGAATACTATTCAGTCTTAAAAAAGAAGAAAATCGGCCAGTCACAGTGGCTTATGCCTGTAATCTCGGCACTTTGGGAGGCCAAGGCAAGCCGATCACTAGACGCCAGGAGTTGGAGATCAGCTTGGCATACATGGCGAAACCCCATCACTACTAAAAATACAAAAGTTAGCCTGGCATGGTAGCTCGCACCTGTAATCCCAGCTACTCAGGAGGCTGACAGGACAATCGGTTGAGCCTGGGAGGCAGAGGTTGTAGTGACCCGAGATCGCACCACTGCACTCCAGCCTAGGCCGCAGAGGAGAGACTGTGTCTCAAATAAAAATAAAAATAAAAATAAAAAAAGGAAATCTTGCTGTATGTAACAACATGAATGACCCTGGAGGATGTTCTGCTAAGTGAAATAAATCAGTCGGAGAAGGACAAATACTGTACTGCATGATTCCACTTCTATGAAGTATCTAAAATATTCACATTCACGGAAACAGTAAGATGGTTGTTGCCAGGGACTAGGGGGAAAGGGAAATGGGGAGTTGCTGTTCAACAGGTATAAAGTTTTATTTCTGCAAGACAAATAAGTTATAGAGAGCTGCTGTACAATGTTGTGCCTGCTGTTAATGATACTGTATTCTGCACTTAACATTTTGTTGAGGGTAGATTTCATGTTCAAGGTTCTTACTGCAATAAAATTTTTTTTAAAAAACCTCAATAATTACCAAAAAATTATTTCAATATGTAGTAAAAAGAAATATAATGCTTCTGAAGGCAGTTCCTTTTGTACTGATGATAACGAATTGTGAATTGAGATGAGTGGAATTTAGCAATAAAAAGTGTCAAGAGCATTGGGCAATATTGATGTCAATTCTACCTAATTTCATCTATAGATTTGGAACAATCCCAATCAAAACCTCAGTGCTTTTTAACAGAAATTCACAATATTGAGTTTCTTGTTAATTGAAATTTACAAGGAAAGGTAATGGATATAGGATATCGAAAACAATTTTGGAAAACAACAACAATTTTGGAGGACTAGCATTACCTGATTTCAGGGCTTACTACAAACTTATGGTATCAAGATAGTGTGGTATTTATGTAAAGTAAGACAAATACATCAATAGATCAGAACACAGTGTCCAAAAGTAGAGTCACAGATATTATGGTCAATTGAATTTGACAAAGGTACCAACATAATTGAAATGTGTAGAAGGATAGCCTTTTCGACAAATAGTGTTGAGGCAATTAGATATACATATGGAAATAAATGACCGTGACCCCTACCTTACATAATACACAAAAATTAATTCAAAATGGATGATAGGTCTAAATATAAAAGTTGTTTTAAAACTTCTAGAAGAAAACATGGGAGAAAATTTTTACCACCTTGGAGTAGGAAAAGATTTCTCATATAAAATAATCACAAGTCCTAACATTTTTAAAAATTAATACAATTGCAGCTCAAAAAATTAAAATGTTATGGTCTTTAAAAGATGCTAAATGAATAAGTAAGTGAATAAGGCACATTACAGACTAGGAGAAAATAGTTACAAAACATTTGTCCAACAAAAGACTCGTAGGATATATACAGAGAGAGGACTTGCTACTCAGTAAAAAGACAAATATCCCAATTTGAAAAAATAGACAAAAGACTTCATCATAGAAGATGTGTTGAACAGGCAATTATCACATCATTGTCATCATGAAATATCACTTCAATCCCACTGGAATGGCTAAAATTAATAAGATTGGAAATAGCAAGTGTCGCACAGGCATGGTGGCTCACACCTGTAATCCTAGCACTTTGGGAGGCTGAGGCGGGAAGATTGTTTGGGCTTGGAGTTTGAGACCAGCCTGGGCAACATAGTGAGACATCTCTACAAAAAATTTTAAAAATTAGCAGGGCATGGTAGCACATGCCTGTAGTCCCAGCTATTTGGGAGGCTGAAGTGGGAAGAACTCTTGAGCCTGGGGAGGAGAGGGCTGCAGTGAGCCCTGATTACACCACTGCACTCCATCCTGGGTGACAGAGTAAGACCCTGTGTCAATAAATAAATAAATACATAATAAAAAATGAAAATAGCAAATGTTGGCAAGGATCTGAAGCAATTAGAGCATTTATACTTTGCTAGTAGGAATATAAAATAGTACAACCACTTTGGAAAACAGTAGTAATTATTTATTATGAATCTAAACAAGTACTTATCATAGGACCCAATATTTCCCCTCCTAACAAAAACAAATTGTGTCATATTTATCAGTCAAAATACTGCTCAGCAATAAAACAAAAACTACACATGACAACATGGATGAATCTCACATATATGCTGAGTGAAAGATGCTGGACACAATATGGTTGAGATGACACTAGTCATTAAGAAATAAATCACATTTGTGGTTCCCAGGTGCAAGAATGTTGGGGAAGTTTAATGGCAAAGGAGCATGAGAAACCTTCTAGGGAGATGGAAATGCTCTATATCTTGATTGTTGTGGTGGTTACGTGGATGAATACAAAGACTCTCTCCTTGACCAAACTTAGTCAGGCTCCTCTGATACCTTTTGTCAACTAGACCTTGACCTTAGGCTTCCATGTCTTTATTTGTTCAGTTTTAGCTAGACTCCTGCTAAGTCACTTTAGTAAGAGTCCCTTGCTTTTGGTATCTGGTCACCTTCAAAATCTGATCAAATTCATTATTCTCTACCTTCCCCCAGATGATATCTGATCACCCTAACCTGCCTTTAGAAAGAATACTATCAAATCAGTTTAGCAAGAATCTCCTCTTACCCCTTGCTATGATTTGGATGTTTGTCCCCTCCAAAATCATGTTGAAATTTAATTGCCATTGTAACAGTATTAAGAAGTGAGACCCTTAAGAGGTGATTAGGCAATAAAGGCTCCACCCTCATAAGTGGGACTGATATTATAAAAAGGAGACTTCAACCCTCTGTTGGCCTTTTTGCCTTCCACCATGGAATGATGCTGCAAGAAGGCTCTTACCAGATGTCAGCACCTTGACATTGAACTTCTCAGCTTTCTGAACTATGAACCAATAAATTTCTGTTCATTATAAATGACCCAGTCTCTTGGGCCAGGCATGGTGGCTCACGCCTGTAATCCCAGCACTTTGGGAGGCCAAGGTGGGTGGATCACTTGAGATCAGGAGTTCAAGACCAGCCTTATCAACATGGAGAAACCCCGTCTCTACTAAAAATACAAAATTAGCCAAGCGTGGTGGTTCATGCCTGTAATCCCAGCTACTCAGGAGGCTGAGACAGGAGAATCGCTTGAACCCGGGAAGCGGAGATTTCAGTGAGCCGAGATTGCGCCATTGCACTCCAGCCTGGGCATACAGAGCAAGACTCCGTCTCAAAAAAAAATAAATAAATAAATAAATAAATAAATAAATTACCCAGTCTCAGGTATTCTGTTACAGCAGCACAAAATGGACAAAGACACCCCTAATGTTTCCTCTTAGTAATTTTCAATCCACTGACCCCCAACCCTGTTCATTTGCTATAAATCTCCCCTTGTTCATGCTGTATTCAGAATTGAGCCCAATTCCATACTGAGGTTTATTTTCCTACATTGCAATATTTACTAAATAAAATTTGTTTTTTCTGCTCTAGCTACTATTCAACTGTGATTTTCTTTAACAGTGTAATGCAGCAGAGTCATTTGTGTTGTGCCAAGTTCCTGCCTGTGAAATTTAGCATATGTTGTAGTTTT
Source organism: Homo sapiens (assembly GCF_000001405.40). Lineage (NCBI taxonomy): Eukaryota > Metazoa > Chordata > Mammalia > Primates > Hominidae > Homo > Homo sapiens. The sequence continues at coordinate 51,037 of NT_167250.2, forward strand.
AAAATAACTAACATTTTACCAATACATTTACTTATAACTTCTTTTTGACATATATTATCTTATTTAACATTCTGAAACAGCTTGTGATTTAATTACAATAACACCAATTATATTTTTAATTGAAAAATAAATAAAAGGAATATTTAAATATCACTGGGTATTCTTAAATTTGGAAATGTATTAATCTTCAGATTTAAGACCAGGTACCTAAGCCTTTTCTTCCACAGTAGGATGTCAATGTTAAATTTTCATTTAGCTTTTACATGTACCACAGAATGCAGCCTTGAATCCTTTAATAGCAATTATATTGGTTTATTGAGTTTCATAACAGGAAATAGACTATCAAAATATAAGTACTTCCAAAAAAAGATAACATTTTACAAGGCCCTTTTTTGGAAAACATGGTTAATTATTCCTGAGATATTTATAGAATTCTGGAATTCTGAAGTTGTTCTGCTTACTTTTGAGTAATATCGGTAGCTGACATTTTCTGAGTACTGACTGTGCCCAATCTGCTCTGTGTGCTGCCTATATTTTACCTCACTTAATTCTTATCACAGTCTTATAAGGGATTTTTTTTTTTTTTTTTGAGACAGAGTATGCCCTATGTGGCCCAGGCTGGAGTGCAGTGGTGCGATCTTGGCTCACTGCAACCTCTGTTTCCTGGGTTCAAGCAATTCTCCTTCCTCAGCCTCCCGAGTAGCTAGGACTATAGGCAAGCACCACCATGCCTGGCTAATTTTTGTATTTTTAGTAAAGATGGGTTTTTGCCATGTTGGCCAGGCTGGTCTCGAACTCCTGACCTCAAGTGATCTGCCCACCTCAGCCTCCCAAAGTGCTGGAATTACAGGCATGAGCCACAGCGCCTGACTTGTTATCTTTATTAGGAACAAAGTTTCTTCTGAGTAAACATTTAGTCTTTTTGTTGTTGTTGTTGTTGTTGTTGTTGAGACAGGGTCTCGCTCTGTTGTCTAGGCTGGAGTGCAGTGGCATGATATCGGCTCACTACAATCTCCTCCTCCTGGGTTCAAGCATTCTTCTGCCTCATCCTCCCAAGTAGCTGAGATTACAGGTGCGCGGCACCATGCCTGGCTAATTTTTTGTTGTTTTAGTAGAGATGGGGTTTCACTATGTTGGCCAGGCTGGTCTCAAACTCCTGGCCTTAAGTGATCCGCCTACCTCGGCCTCCCAAGGTGGTGGGATTACAGTTGTGAGCCATCACGCCGGCTTCTTGGTGGCATCTTGATACAGGGTGTGCTGGATATCTGTGGCCACCCTGATCAATTTTCCACCTTGCTCTATTCCTTAAGAATCTCATTCATAGGGACTACACAATAATCGTTTATCTTCTCTCAGTTTTGGTTGAGTTCAGGCATTTGAAGATAGGAAGAAAGTAAGGGTTTTGAACTATTTATTTTCATGGCTCCCTCTATGTAGGGTTAACATAGGGTAGCTCTGTCTCTCTATCTATGACCTCAATTCCTTTTCAACCCTATCTATACATCTATTCTATCTGGGCTCTAGTAACTCTGCCTTCCACTTGCCCATCCAGGCCCAGGGTAGTGCTATGGAATGAACTCCCATCCACCCCCAAATTCATATGTTGAAGCCCTATTCCCCAATATGACTATATTCGAAAATAAGACCTTAAGGAGGTTATTAAACTTAAATGAGTTCATAAGGGTGTGGTCCTGATCCAGTTGGGTTAATGTACTTATTAAAAGAGACACCAGAGAGCTTGCTTTCTCTTCTCATTCAGGCACCAAGGAAGGGCCATGTGAGGACAAAGCAGCTGTCTGTAAGCCAGGAAGGGAGCCCTCACCAGATATTGTACCCTGTTAGAACGAACCTTGATCTTGGACTGTCCAGTCTCTAAAACTGTAAGAAAATTAACTTCTGTTGTTTAAGCCATCCAGTCTGTGGTATTTTGTTATGGAAGCCCAGGCTGACTAATTGGGATAGTAAGGCACTATCTTGTATAGTTTCTTAACACTCTGCCCGCACTTTTGTAAAGAGTCCCTTTATTAAACTCCCCCTAATTGGCATTCATGCTGTTTTCTGATAGGATCCTGATTCATACAAAGCAGACAATCAGAGAACATTACCCAAGCTAAGAAGAGTGACTGACCCAAATGTTCTCCTTCTCTCCTGGAACTTGAAGGCATAATAAGAGTGCATCTTATTTCTCTTGGTAGTTAGGCTTCAGTTTCTGTTTCTGTTTTGAAGTGTATGAGACTGCTGTAACTCATGCTCTGTTCTTTTGGCCCAGCCAATGTATGGCAGTTTCTTATAAGGATCACAACCCACCATCTCCTCAGGCTGACCAGATTCTTCACTTCAGCTCTTGCTGGTACTGTGGATTTTTCAAGACTCACTTATGTGCATACTCCATTTGACCCTAGCACTGGCCTTTGCAGTGGTGACTCCTTGGAGAAAAACTCACTCAGTCCATGGTTAACTTGCACACACCTCCAGAGTTACATGGGCATTTCTAGTTCTCTTCACATCTTGGGAAACCAAGAGACAATCTCCTAGGCTCCCCCTGCTTAAACATGCTACTTAACCATTTTAACTCTACTGTGGCCTTCACATTGGCTCTAGGCACTCTGCTTCCAAAATTCCAAACAGGAAGTGGGGTGCAAATCCTATGTACTTTCACTTAATGTCTCTGTAGACATTCAGAAGCACATTTCCACCCAATTTCCCTCTGACCCTCTTCTTGGACAAAGTTTTTGTGATACCACTTTGATGATAAAGAATCTAGTGAGGCCTTAAGATACAACCTAAGAAAGAAGGTCAAAAACTGCAAAGTAGAAAGAACATTTAGATTTCTACAACTTTTGCAATTTCTTGTGTATGTGACGTTTGTCTCCTTATACCACAGAGATTACCAAAACAGGCACCAGAGGAAAAAAAAGATGATCACCACCACCACCACCACCATTTAATAAATAATGTGTTTAGCATAACTTCAGGATGAGAAAAGAAGATTAGAGCTGGTGGGACAGTGATTCTAAGACTTCTCAGAGGTGATTTCCAGGATGACTACTCCAAAGAGAAGAGGCAAGTAAACTGCAGTCCTCAGGACCTGTTGCTAAGAAGAAAAGAAATTCTGAAGAATCAATTCAGATCTGAAAATATTGGACTGGGTCGAAACACACTTGAAAATATAATCTGTCATACATTTTCTCATTGCTTAGGAGTATGGGCTTGGGCATAAATAAGATTAGCATTTTAGCAAACATTTACTGCTTAGAAGCTATGTGAACGTGGAGAAGTGTAACACAGAGGTGAAGAGCCCTGGCTCCAGAGTTAGGGATGTGGCTTGAATCCTCGCTCTGCTACCCAGAGCAAATTATTTACTTCTTTGAGCAAATTATTTACTTCTTTGAACCTCATTTTGTTTTCTTTAACTAGGATAGCTAATCCAATAGTTTTTTCTTCATCAAGTCATATGTGAAGTACTTATCACTAACCTGTTGTGTGTATGCATGTTAGTGCTAAGTACTTCAGCAATTGATCATCATTATTATCAACCTGAGAAAACTCACTTTATTCTTGTCAAAGGAAAATAAATCTCAGGACCCAAAAATCACTAAGCCAAAGGGAAGTCAAGCTGGGAACTGCAATGGGCACACCTGCCTCCCATTCTATTCCTAAATAAGATAGCTACAAAAATTAAAAAGCTACATGCTTCCCTTGCAGTTTTCCCATAAGGAAATTCCTTGTGAACAAGAGACAGAACTCAGAGTCATCCCTGTGCTCACGTGAGTCAGAGTCCAGCCTGGGCAGCATAGTGAGGCCCTGTCTCGACAAAAATTTAAAAACTTAGCTGAGTGTGATTGTGTGGTTGGCTCATGCCTGTAGTTCCAATTACTTGGGAGGCTGAGGTGGGAGGATTGCTTGAGCCAGGTTGCTCAATGCTGCAGTGAGGTATGACACTGCCACTGCATGTCAGCCTGGAAGACAGAGTCAGATCCTATCTCTGGAAAAAAAAAATGCTTGTAGAATGTAAACATGAGGCCCTGTCTCTACAAAAAGTTGCTTGGGTGTGGTTGAGCCCAGGAGTTTGAGGTTGCAGTGAGCAATGATTGCACCATTGCATTCCAGCCTGGATAACAGAGTAAGATACTGTTTGAAACAGGAAAAAGAAACAAAAACAACATTTGTATGTGGGTATGTTTTATTTCCGGGGGGCTGCTATAACAAAGTATTATAGATTGTGTCTTCATATTTTGGAAGGGGAAAACAAGCTCATTGGGGCCGCTTTTTTAAGGGCACTAATCCCATTTATGAGGGCTCTTCTGTCACGATCCAATCACCATCCAAAGGCCCAACCTCTTAATACCAACACCTTGGGGCTTAGAATTTCAACAAACGGATTTTGGAGGCAGGGGACATAAATGTTCTGATAGCAGGGCTTTTTAGAAGTGTCATGAATAATTAAATTCTAATCATGGTAGCCAAGCCATGTATCAGCTTTCTTATAACTTAATTAGAATGCCAAATACTGTGGAAGAAACAATAACATTGCAAGCAAATGTGTTATTGTTACTTTGAAGGAAGTTATCTTCTAGTATAGTAGAAGTAGTAGATATTGTAGTGGGGTAAAACGTGTTTTCTGACAATGACTCCTTTTACCAGTAGTGAACTGGTAAATGTTTAACAACCAGCTCTCCAGAAAAACAAAATAAAACAAAACTTATTTGTAATGTTTGTCAATTTATGTGGTGTAATTACTCCTACCATGACCAATTTCAAACTATCTATGTGACATCTCATCACTGAACACAGGAAGAAATGAGAAGTAACAAAATTTTATAGTATTTTCACCATACAGGTGCAATAATTGTAAATATAAATAACCTCAAGAACAAATAATATTAAGTTATAATTGAAAGAATCAGGAAGTGGTGAATTTTGAATATTTATTACTTTTGTATTTAATATAGTTTACTTAACTATACTTAATATTATTAACTTTGTATAATTTATTTTTTAATAATCCCTATGTTTAACAACCAGTCTACAAAAATTTTAAAAATTTAACAACTGGCTCTTATAAGTCATTACAGGCAAGCTTCAGCACACCATTATGCTTAACTGCCCCTCAGATACACAGCACTCATAGCTATATATGTATGATTTTATAGGATATCCTGGCCACAGCTGATGAGAGTAAATAGGGATGGGAATAGGTTCAATGTCACTTCTCCCAGAATTTGGAAAGGGAATCAGACTGGAAATCATCCTGTTTGTGTGGCTGAAACTATAACTCATGAAAATTTGAAGTTACAGGCAGTCACTTTTTGACCATTATGTGGACTTAGTAGTAAATAAGATTTATCTTCCAGTATAGAAGCATAAAAATATGCAAAGGGAAACCAGAAATGGGGAAACACATCTCATTTGTCTTAAAGCATTCTAGATTTCAGCGGCAGTTCTTGAGACCTGGTTGCATTCTACCCTTCGATTTGGACAGATACATTTACCCTCACAGTAGTTTTCCTTTTCCTCTAATATAACTCGAATTGCTTTTTGTTATTTGCAAACAAAAAGATGGACATGAAGGAAAAAGGAAATAGCAAAATACGCAAAATAATAAGCGTAGTATAATACTGGGTGAAAAATGTTCAATTGCTCTATAGCTCATAGATCAAAATAGAGAACTTTGCCCTAACTCTATTCGTAGATAATGAACATTAGGATAAATATTTCAACTCTCCTTTTTGAGAAAACCACAATCTAAATACAGCTACCTTTCTCTGTAGATTCTACTGTAATGTGTGCTTGGATTTAACTGCCTCTCATTGTAAACAAGATTGTTTTGAGGCAGCTGAAAGGTAAAGAGCTTTCCTTTGGCAAGCTCAACAACTCTTGTGACTTAATCATCATCTATACAAGAATGATTACTTCAGTCAGACTTCTCACCTGATGTCAGTTGTTTCCTTGACATCTTTTCTTAGATGTCTCATGATTAGCTCAATTTTAAAAAGCTCAACAGTACCCCCTTGATCCACCACTACCCACACTGTCCACTAACCTACTCATGCTAGGGATCTGGGAATTAGCCTTCTCCTCACCTCACATCTCCAGCACTTGCAGTACAGTGAGGAAGTGAGGGTGAAGGGGAAAGGGAGCTAAGGTACAGACAATGGCTAATTTACATCTCTTGGTGGCAAGTGTTACAACAGGAATAGTATACAACACTATAGAGACATACAATGGGAATAAATCCATGAGTTAGTCATATGCTCCTTTCTAGACCGTTCTCTGGGTACTCACTGCCTGAAAAACATGATTTTTTCTTACAGGTTTCAGCTAATTCTGCATCTCACCAAGAAATTTTTCCTTGACAACCTCTCCCTAACAGAATTAGTTGTCTCTGTTGTGTTCCTGTAACCGAGTATCCCCATTTTTCTTAAGAAAAAGGGAATGAATAACTATTATTATTTTCTCTTCTCTTTTTCCTTTTCCCCTTGATATGGTTTGGCTCTGTGTCCCCACCCAAATCTCATCTGAAATTGTAATCCTTCCCCATGTGTCAAGGAAGGGACCTGGCCATGGGGCGATAGGATCATGGGGGCAGTTTCCCTCATGGTGTTCTCAAAAGATCTGAGTTCTCAAAAGTGAGAAGTGAGTTCTCAAAAGATCTGACAGTTTAAAGGTGTGTGGCAGTTCCCCCTTCATTCTCTCCTGTCACCTTGTGAGAAGGTGCTTGCCTCTCCTTCACCCTTTACCATGATTATAAGTTTCCTGAGGCCTCCTCAGCCATGTGGAACTGTGAAGCAATTAAACCTTTTTTAAATAAATGAGCCAGTCTCGAGTAGTTCTTCATAGCAGTTTAACAATGGACTAATACAGAGAATTGGTACTGGAGTTTGAGGCACTGCTATAAAGATACTTGAAAATGCAGAAGTGACTTTGGAACTGGATAATGGGCAGAGGTTGGAACAGTCTGGCGTGCTCAGAAGAAGACAGAAAGACATGGGAACAAGTTTGGAACTTCTTAGAGTCTAGTTGAGTGATTTTGACCAAAATGCTGATATTGATATGGACAATGAAGTTCAGGCTGAGATGGTCTCAGATGGAGATAAGGAACTTATTGGGAACTGGAGTAAAGGTCACTCTTGATATGCTTTACTCCAGAGACTGGCAGCATTTTGCCCCTGCCCTGGAGATCTGTGGAACTTTGAACTTGAGAGAGATGATTTAGGTTATCTGGAAGAATAAATTTCCTTTTTTTTTGAGACAGAGTCTCGCTCTGTCACCCAGGCTGGAGTGCAGTGGCATGATCTCGGCTCACTGCAAGCTCCGCCTCCCAGGTTCACACCATTCTCCTGCCTCAGCCTCCCAAGTAGCTGAGACTACAGGCACCCACCACCACACCCAGCTACTTTTCTGTATTTGTTTAGTAGAGACGGGGTTTCACCATGTTGGCCAGGATGGTCTCAATCTCCTGACCTCGTGATCTGCCTGCCTCAGCCTCTGAAAGTGCTGGGATTACTGGCATGAGCCACCATGCTCAGCCTATAAATTTCTAAGAAGCAAAGCATTCAAAGTGGGATCTGGCTTTTTCTAAAAGCCTGCAGTCATATGCATTCACAAAGAGATGATCTGAAATTGGAACTTAGGTTTAAAAGAGAAGTAGAGTGTAAAGGTTTGGAAAAGTTGCAGCCTGACCATGTGGTGGAAAAGGAAAACCTGTTTTTGGGGGAGAAATTCAAGTCAGCTGCAGAAATCTGCAAAAGTAAAGAGAAGCCAAATGTTAATAGCCAAGACAATGGGGAAAACCTCTCCAGGGTGTTTCAAAGTTCTTCACAGCAGTCCCTCCCATCACAGACTCAGAGGCCAAGGAGGAAAAAATGGTTTCGTGGGCCAGGCCCAGGGCCCCCCTGCTTTGTACAGCTTTGGGACACGGTTCCCTGTGTCCCAGCTGCTCCAGTGCCAGCCATGGCCAATGGAGGACAAGGTACAGCTTAGTTCATTGCTTCAGAGGGTGCAATCCCCAAGCCTTGATGGCTTCCACATGGTGTTAAGCCTGCAGGTGTGCAGAAGACAAGAGTTGAGCTTTGGGAACCTCCAACTAGATTTCAGAGGATGTATGGAAACGCCTGGATGTCCAGGGAGAAGTCAGCTGCAGGGGCAGAGCCCTCATGCAGAGCTCATACTAGGGCAATGCAGAGGAGAACTGTGGGGTGGAGCCCCCACACAGAACCTCCACTGGGGCACCACCTCATGCAGCTGTGAGAAGAGGACTACTGTCCTCCAGATTCCCAAATGGAAGATTCACTGACAGCTTGCACTGTGTGCCTAGAAAAACTGCAGGCACTCAATGTCAGGACTTAATGCCACCCAATGAAAGCAGCTGCAGTGGCTGTACCCTGCCCAGAGCCACAAGGGCAGAGCTGCCTAAGGTCTTGGGAGCCCACCCCTTGCATCAGCATGACCTGGACGTGAGGCATGGAGTCAAAAGAGATTATTTTGGAGCTCTAACACTTAATGACTGCCCTATTGAGTTTCTGATTTGCACGGGGGCCTGTAGCCCCTTTGTTTTGGCCAATTTTTCCCGTTTGAAATGGGACCATTTACCCAATACCTGTAACCCCATCATACACTGGAAGTTATTAACTTGCTTTTGATTTTACAGGCTCATAAGCAGAACGGACTTGCCTTGTCTCAGTTGAGATTTTGGACCTGGACTTTTGGGTTAATGCTAGAATGAGTTAAGACTTTGGGGTACTGTTGGAAAGGCATGATTGTGTTTTGAAATGTGAGAAGGATATGAGCTTTGGGCGGGGCTGGGATGGAATGATGTGATTTGGCTTTGCATCCCAACCCAACTCTCATCTTGAATTGTAATCCCTGCATGTCAAGGGAGGGACCTGGTGGGAGGTGATTGGATCATAGGGGCAGTTTCCCCCATTCTGTTCTCATGATAGTGACTGAGTTCTCACCAGATCTGATGGTTTAAAAGTGTGTGGCAGTTCCCCCTTCATGCTCTCTCTCCCGCTACCTTGTGAAGAAGGTGCTTGCTTCTCTTTCACCTTCCACCATGATTGTAAGTTTCCTCAGTCTTCCCCAGCCATGCAGAACTGTGAATCAGTTAAACCTTTTTTTTTAAAATAAGTTACCCAGTCTCAGGTAGTTCTTTATAGCAGTGTGAAAATGGACTGATACACCCCTGTTCTCCACTTTCTACTTAGTCTTTTAGTAATGACAATATAGCCTTTTACCATCCCCTTCACCAGACGCTCCCTACAGGGTAAGTTCATCTATGCACTCTAAGACGGAACTCTCTTTGAGAGTTAACAGTCGATTTATAGACCAAAGCATGCCTGCTATGGAACTCTCACCCACCAGAGGGTTACCTCAAGAGATAACAATTGAAAAACATGTCCGCTACTGTCTCCCAGCTAGGGAGTTTTTATCATAGTCCTGCCCACAAAAATGCCAGAAGTCACCAGCTTGACCTCCTGGTATGTAAGGGACCAAGCTAACATGCAGACCCCTCACCTTGCTCACTTCCTCTCCTGCCTTTTAAAAGTGCCTGCTTTAGGTTCTCACTCATAAGTAGGAGTTGAAGAATGAAAACACATGGACACAGGGAGGGGAACAACACACACCATGGCCTGTTGGGAAGTTGGGGATGAGGGGAAGGAACTTAGAGGATGGGTCCGTAGGTGCAGCAAACCACCATGGCACACATATACCTATGTAGCAAACCTGCACGTTCTGTACATGTATCCCAGAACTTAAAGTAAAATAAAAAAATAAAAAAATAAAAAGAAAAAAGAAAATGAAAAAACAAAAAAAGGAAAAAGAAAGTAAGTGCCTGCTTTTGCTCCAGAAACAAAGTAGTACATTTAAAGTCAAGACTCCTGTGCTTCTTCCCCTAAGCTAGCTTGGGAAATAAATCACTTTGTTTATACCAGACCTCGCTTTTGTTAATTGGGCTCTGCAAGCATTGAGTGACTAACCTGCATTTATTAGTTACATTCTCACTGCATTTGTACTTGTCTCCATTACAACAATTATAATTATAGATACATTTTAAGTTACTATGGAGCCCCAGCAGAATGCCTGTCACATCAAAATTATCAAAGAAGTATTTAGTAAAGAGAAGAAAAAAAAGAATAAACAGAAGATATCAACAGCTCTGGATTCTACCAGTGACCAGCATTCAATCAACTCTATATAAATTATTCTCTCTGTTCCTATATTTTCTCCTTTGTCCAGTAAGAAATTGGACTCATGGCCAGATGCAGTGGCTCATGCCTGTAATCCCAGCACTTTGGGAGGCTCAGTGGGGTGGATCACTTGAGCCCAGGTGTTCTGAGACCAGCCTGGGCAAAATGGGGAAACCCCATTGTGGGGGTTCAGTCAGGCTGGTGGGAAAAATTTTAGTTATCATAGCCACAAACCCTCTTGGAAGGCCTGAGAGTTTGCATAACTTCAGTAATAGATCTAGCTGAAGGCAGCCTAGTCCCTTTACCTTTAGTTAAATAGGTTAAAGTAGATACAAAGGAATGTGGGGGAGTTTATCTAACTAGCTTGTTTACTCATGTGGTCCTAAGACTAATCTTAGTGTGCTTAATTGCTTTCTACTCGGGAGGTCCGCAATGTCAATTACCCTCTAGTGGTGTTGACTCAAGCCTTTGTCAATTAATCTTTACTGAATGAATGTGAGTCTTGCTGTGTCTAGGCTGGAGGTTCCAACTATTTACAGCACTCTTCTTGGTGTCTGTAAGTGGCCTGGATGCTCAGCCAGACTGGCAAAGCAGAATATCTGTGTCAGTGCACGTTATTCATCTGTCATTGGGTCAGGGTCTGCAGGACAGACCCCTGCACCCCATCTCTACAAAAAACACCCCCTGCAAAATTGTCTGGGCATGGTGCCACATGCCTGTAGTCCCAGCTACTTGGGAGACTGAAGCGGGAGGATTCCCTGAGTCCAGGAGGTGGAGGCTGATATAAGCCAGGATCATATCATTGCACTTCAGCCTAGGCAATAGAATGAGACCCTGTCTAAAAAGAATTAAAAAAAAAAAAAAAGGAAAGAAAGGAAAAAAAGAAAAACGATATGGAGCTTGAACTTTCCTTGACTTTGGGCACGTCACATGGCTTCGATTTCTTCATCTATAAAATGTCAACCACAGAGTTATTGTGAAGATCAAATGAGCTGTGCATGTGAAATGAAACTACCTTTACAAGCATTAAATGCTATAAAAATTTTAAGCATGGCTTTTAGTAGTTTTAGCTCTAATTTTCTATTATTCTAAATAGTGGAATGTGGTAGAAGTATATCACTGTTTTTTCTTTTTTTCTTTTTAACCAGTGGTGGGGATAAGGGGAAGGAAGTGGTTGAAAAATCGAAAGGGAACTTCTTACTTGGGTAAGTCTGGACTTAATTGTGCCAAACTTTCTAAAGCAGCTTCCAGGACAAATTTCCAGGAATATTTAAAAAATTGTTTAGACTGACTGGAACACAGATATGAAGCCACATTTTTTGTGCACGTGTGACTATGTGTGCCTCTGGAAGATTTCAACACAAACACGCTCTCATCTAAATTAACGCTTTCCTCTGAATTGACTCATTTGACCAGCATAACCAGTTTGCATGCCAGTGCAAGCAGAGAAAGTTGTAATAAAAAGAAGAAAAGAATGAAAGGCATTTAGAAATTCGGTGGTTAAATGTACACTTAGTTAATCATTGTATTTGTTTTTCAAGGGCTTCCTAACCTTTTGGAGAAAGAAAAATATGGCAGAAAGCTGACTGAAGTTTGAAATTAATATGTGCAAAATGTCTGTAGAGGATCTAGTCTATCCTCCTTTCCTTCATCTTAAGACTTAATTTTATCCAAAAATTAAGTAGCCTGATTAGTCATCCTTGCTTTCTTCTCTTCCTGGCTCCTTGGGTTTTTTCCCATATGTATTTGTTCAGCATCTATTACAAAGCAGGCACTGCCCAAGGCATTGTTTTTAATGTACAAGTAGGGAGTTTGAAATTCATCCTTTCGATCAGAAGTTCTCAAACTATACGGTGTATATGATTCACAAGGAAAATTTGTCCAAAATGCAGATTTCTAGTCTTAATCCCAGATATCAGATTTGAGGCTCTTCGTGGGGCCTGGCAATCTGCCATTTTAACAAGTGTCTGGGAGAGCTGTGGCTCATGCCTATTATGCCAGCACTTTGGAAGGACGATGCAAGAGGATTGATTGGAATTTGTGACCAGCCTAGGCAACACTGCATGACTCTGTCTCCACAAAAATTTAAAAAATTAGCCAGGTGTGGTGTTGCATGACTGTAGTCCCAGCTATTTGGGAGGCTGAGGTGGGAGGATGGAGTGAGCTGTGATCGTGCCACTGCACTCCAGCCTGCGAGACAGAGGTGAGACCTTGCCTCAAGAGACAACAACAGGGCCAAACGCGGTGGCTCACGCCTGCAATCCCAGCACTTTGGGAGGCTGAGGCAGGCGGATCACCTGAAGTTGGGAGTTTGAGACCAGCCTGACCAACATGGAGAAACCCCATCTTTACTAAAAAATACAAAATTAGCCAGGCATGGTGGTGCGTGCCTGTAGTCCCAGGTGAGACAGGAGAATCGCTTGAACCCGGGAGGTGGAGGTTGCAGTGAGCGAAGATGGCACCACTGCACTCCAGCCTGGGCAACAAGAGAGAAACTCTGTCTCAAAAAAAAAAAAAAAAGACAACAACAATGGCCGGGTTCAGTGGCTCACGCGTGTAATCCCAGCACTTTGGGAAGCCAAGGAGAATGGATTATCTGAGGTCAGGAGTTCGAGACCAGACTGGCCAACATGGTGAAACCCTGTCTCTACTAAAAATACAAAAATTAGTCAGGCATGGTGGCAGACACCTATAATCCCAGCTATTCAGTAGGGTAAGGCAGGAGAATGGCCTGAACCCAGGAGGCATAGTTTGCAGTGAGCCGAGATCGCACCACTGCACTCCAGCCTGGGTAACAGATGGAGATTCCATCTCAAAAAAAAAAAAAAAAAAGACAACAACAAACAAGTGATAAGCAATTCAAGGGACTCCATTCACCTGTTTGAAATTAATAAAACACTTAGTGATTAGATTAGGTTGGTGGGCAGCTGAACTCTTCAAGATTTTATCTATATCTCTTTAAGAACTCCAGAATCGGGGCTCTCTGTTCGAATCCAGACTCTGCCACTTAGGAGCTATTCAGTTGATTGTATTAATCAAGTTAACCTCTTTGTACTCTGTGTCCTCCTCTGTGACAGTACATGGGAATCAAAATATCTACCTCAGAGAGTCACTGGGCAGATTTAGCAGATAAAGCATGGGTGTTATCTGGCATATAGCAGTAAGTACAAAAAAGTAGCTACAATAATAATAACATAACATATAAATTAATATAATAACATTGTTACCATTATTGGCAGTAGTTTTACTGTGGCTCTATTTTTTAGAGAGAAGAGAGAAGACACAAAGTTTTGCCCACAATAAGTGGTCAGGTCTTGGAATATGACTAGATGATTGCTTCAAAAGAGAGAAGTGTTCTGACTGCTTGTATATGTCTTCTGAGGCGGAAATTGCTGTTAGTAACAACCATTTTAGTTTACATTTTCTAAATATTATTAAATCCCTGAGTAGTAGGTAATATTATTGCTATTCTGACATTTTCTTCTCATGGCTTAATTTAAAAGAATCAAAATTATACCCAGCTCAGAGAGGTAAATAACAAATGTTCTCAAGAAGCATCTAAGGCCAGGTGCAGTGGCTCACGCCTGTAATCCCAGCACTTTGGGAGGCCGAGGCAGGTGGATCACGAGGTCCGGAGTTCAAGACCAGCCTGAACAATACAGTGAAACCGCGTCTCTACTAAAAATACAAAAATTATCTGGGCGTGGTGGTGGGAGCCTATAATCCCAGCTACTAGGGAGGCTGAGGCAGGGAACTCCTTGAACCCTGGACGTGCAGGTTGCAGTGAGCTGAGATCGTGCCACTGCACTCCAGCCTGGACGACAGAGTGAGACTCCGTCTCAAAAAAAAAAAAAAAAAGCATCTAAAACAGGGGTCCCCAACCCCCATGACACAGATTCTGGTCCATGGTCTTTAGGAACTGGGTTGCATAGTAGGAGGTGACCAGCAGGCAAGCAAGTGAGCATTACCACCTGAGCACCACCTCCTGTTGGATTAGTGGTGGCATTAGATTCTCATAGGATCGTGAACCCCATTGCAAATCGTGCATGTGAAGGAGCTACATTGTAAGCTCCTGATGAGAGTCTAACTAATGCCTGATGATCTGAGGTGGAATAGTTTCATCTGGAAACCATTCATCTCTCTTGTCCATGGAAAAATTGTTTTCCATTAAACTGGTCCCTGGTGCCAAAAAGGCTGGGGACTGCTGATCTAAAAGATGTCCTCATCATAATCACAGATAATGAATACAGAATACTCAGTATCGGAGGAAAGATAAAAAGTTCAGTTTGGGTCAATTTCTTCACTATTTACATACACTTAGGGCCTTAGACCCTTCCATGCTAAAATTTAAATGCATGCATTAGCTCATTTAATCTATAATAGCCCTATAAGTAAATTGCTATTATAATCCTTATTTATTTATTTATACATTTTTTTGAGATGGAGTCTCGCTCTGTTGCCCAGGCTGGAGTGCAGTGGCATAATCTTGGCTCACTGCAACCTTCACTTCCCAGGTTCAAGCGACTCTCCTGCCTCAGCACTCCCTGGGACTACAGGTGTGCACCACCACACCACACTAATTTTTAAAATATTTTTTAGTAGAGATGGGGTTTCACCATGTTGGCCAGGTTGGCCTTGAACTCCTGAACTCAGGTGATCAGCCCACCTTGACCTCCCAGAGTGCTGGGATTACAGGCGTGAGCCACTGCGCCTGGCCTATAATCTCATTTTAAAAGATGCCATTATAAAACATCTTTAAAAATGAAATTTATTCTCTGAAGTGTCAACATAATAAGAAAGAAAAAAAAGACACTTAGGTTAACTAAAGTAATAAAGGAACTCAAACTTGAACCAAGAGCTATGTGATCTTACATCTCACTTTAGTCTGCATATCAAACCGCCTCCTAGACACTTTGAGGCTCACGGGTCTGAAGTGGGTGTAGTGGCATCCTGGGAAGATTTAATAGGACAACAAAGGTAAGTCACACAATGAGCTCTAAATTCTAGTCTGTCCAAAGCATGCTCCTTTCTAAAATTATATTCTAAAATGTTAAGAAAAAATACAAAAAAGGGCATTTTCAGAAAATGTTTTATAGTCCTTCCTCTGAATGACTAACTTTACCTTTTTTCTACATTGCATATTCTTTATCCCAAACATATGCAGAACATGTTGATGTGTTCTCTGATTACAAAGTGTTTTCAAATGATAATGTAATGACTCAGTAGACTTGTGAAATGCAGGCAGAAAAAAATCATTTAAAACCAAAATTGACTGTGCTGCTTCTACCTGCTAAGGGAAGTGGTCTAATTCGCATCAGAGGGGTAAGAGGCAGAGTTCCCTTCCCCTTTTGTAAAAGAAAAATGGGGACAGCAAGCAAAAAATCACTCAATTGTTAGGAAAAAATATCTAAGCCACCCTCTCACCTTCCTTCTCTTTCCCAAGAATTGGTTGCACTACTGAAACCAGAGGAGTGCAGGAATTCCACTATTTTGTAAAATAAGTTTGAGCCAAATTTGCCTGAATTTCTAAGACAGGCTACTTTGGTTGATACACGGATTAAGCCTAAAAATAAAACCTTTTGAGATAAATTGGGTAGTACACCCACAGAATCGCGCCCGAGTCAAGGAGGGAAATCCTTTTGGTATTGTGTTTAAAAATCATTTTTAATTTTCCCTACAACGAAGCGAAACTCCTCACATGTGTTTAATTGTTCGCTCTGAAAGACTACACAGGCCGTTACGAAAATAGTTTTTGGCATGAGTAGTGATCTAGTTATAAATCAGTGAAAAATAAATTGTGTCCATAAAAAAGTTACAGAATTTACCCCTGTGCCATTAAATATTAGTTAACAACCTTGATTTTTAAATTGATGTGCCATATTCTACCATATCGATACTGTATTTGATATGGTTCAGTTGCAGACTGCTCTTCCAGAATAAATAGGCAGAAAGGAATTTATCACTGGCTGCAAACCATTAGATGGCTTACAAACTGTTTGGAATTGTAGGGGCAGGCGCTGTGTGAGCGTTTAGGAACAACTTCCATTCTCCAGAAATGGCATGGGTAGTCCTGCGATCCAAAGGCAGCAGTGTCAGGTGGAAGCGCTAGAAGCCCGAGGCTGCCATTGGCAGAACAAAGCAGTCTCGGCCTGGCTTGGCAGCATCCAAAAGGACCGCAGCCGCCCTGCCGCTGCACACGGTGCATCTGATTGGCGGAACCCAAACCCTTCCGCAGCCCTCCCTGCGAAGATATCTGGGAAACGTAGTTTTTACCTTCTAACCTCTAAGGCACGGAAAGCTTATTCGATGTTGATTGTAATGGAAATAGAACTATGTATTAGGATTTGTTTAACCATCCCTTGAGTTTTAAATTTTTTGGTTGTTACGTAATTTTCTCTGTAATAAATAAATAAAATTCCCTAAACAATATGAATACTTTTCAAATTTTTGATAATGATTGCAAAATTGCTCTCTTGAAAAGTTATGCCAGTTTATACTCCTTCCAGCAATCTTTGTTCCATATTGTCAGTCATGATTAATACATTTGTCAATGCTTTTGAAAAGGAAAGTGACATATTATTTAAAAACTATGAATTTCTTTGGCTAGTTTGAAGATTTTAATTCTCACCACAAGTGAATTACGATTAGATTTTTTTTTTTTTTTTTTTGAGATGGAGTCTCACTCTATCACCCAGGCTGGAGTGCAGTGGCCAATCTCTGCTCACCAGCAACCTCCGCCTCCCGGGTTCAAGAGATTCTCGTGCCTCAGCCTCCAGAGTAGCTGGGATTTGAGGCATACGCCACCACACTAGGCTAATTTTTGTATTTTTAGTAGAGATGGGGTTTTTGTCCTATTGGCCAGGCTGGTCTCGAACTCCCGACCTCAGGTGATTCTCTGGCCTCGGCCTCCCAAATTGCTGGGATTATAGGGGTTAGCCCTCGCGCACGGCCGCAATTAAGTCTTTAGACGATCTGTTTCCCCAGTATTTCCCAGCAATGTATTTATGAATCATCTCGCATCTCGCATGGTGAGAAACTTAACATGAACGTTCAACCATGTAAAATTATTACCAGTGAAATAAATAACTTAATGTCTAGTGACCTCTTACTGTAGCTCTGTATTGGTAGATAGACACTTCTTTTTTGATCTTTCAAGTATATAGTAAAAAAAATGTTCCTTTTACAGTTTTCAATTTTTTTTTTTTTTTTTTTTTTTGAGATGGAGTCTCGATCTGTCTCCCAGGCTGGAGCGCAGTGGCCTGATCTCGGCTCACTGCAACATCCGCCTCCCCGGTTGAAGCGATTCTCCTGCCTCGGCTTCCCAAGGAGCTGGGATTACAGGCATGCATCACCACGCCTGGCTAATTTTTGTATTTTCTTTAAATTAGAGACAGGGTTTCACCATGTTGGCCAGGCTATTCTCGAACTCCTGACCTCAAGTGATCTGCCCGCCTCAGACTCCCAGAGTGCTGGGATTACAGGTGTGAGCCACCGCGCCTGGCTAATTTTTCATGTTTTTAGTAGAGACGGGGTTTCTCCATGTTGGCCAAGCTGGTCTCAAACTACTGACCTCAAGTGATCCACCCGCCTTGGCCTCCCAAAGTGCTGGGATTACAGGCGTAAGCCATCGCGCCCTGCCTTGTTTTCAAAATTAAACTTAGTTGAAGCCTGTAAGACTTAAAATGAAAGCAAGATTATGTGACTTGATTATGATGCAGCCAAATGAATTTAGATGCAAATGCTAGACTTGAAATGTAAGTGTACGAATATACAGCAGTATAATTTTATGAGGTCTGGGGGTTACTTGTGCATGAGCCCAGGATTTAGATATCTGGCTACTCACAGTAAGATCCATGGAAGGAAATAAATTCTATAAGGAAGCACTGTATAACTCAAAGAAACTAGAGAGGCCCAAATGTCCAAAGCTGCCATTTCGCTTGCTGGAATTTGCTGGTGGAATAACTACCCTTCCCCGAATTAATGAGGCTAAATGAATTCCTGGGGAACCCTCAGGCTGTCAGTGTAACACCTCCCACATCTTTTTTCTCCAGCAGGTGGCATGTACAGCACCATCCTGAAATGGTGATAACTTTATTATTATTATTGTCACTATTCATGGGGCTAACCATCTTCCCTTTTCTTCCCAAATAAGTACATGGAGTTTTAGCATAGGTATTAAAGAAGGCTCGTCAGCATGATGGCTTAAGTCTGTAATCCCAGCTACTGGGGAGGCTGAGGTGGGAACCGAGGAGTTCAAGGCTACAGTGAGCTATGATCATGCCACTGCACTATAGCCTGAGTGACAGAAGGAGACCCCGTCTGTAAAAACAATTTAAAGAGAGAAAGAGAAAGATAGAGAGAGAGAGGATTCTTGTTTCAATGACCTAGAGGAAAAAAGATGTTATAAGTTCGCTTTTGAAACTGGAACATTAATTTTTCACCATATTAAGACAAGACCCTGTATATACACGTTAAACTTAAACAGCTATCTTTTAGGCTGTTGAATGCAAGAAGGTAAGTTTAAGTACCATCTAGTGGTAGGCATCACCCTCCACCTAGTGGCATCCCTCTCCATCTAGTGGCAAGATAGGCGAATTGAAAGCAAGTGCCAAAGAAGAAATAGTCTGATACTGAAATGTTGAGCAAAAGTTTAAAAAGACAACAGTATTGACCACGCCTCCTCCAAGTCCCAGCGAGCCCGTGTACAACCTGTCCCGACTCCAGCCGCCTCTTCAGCTCGCCATGGATCCCAACTGCTCCTGTGCCGCCAGTGACTCCTGCACCTGCGCCGGCTCCTGCAAGTGCAAAGAGTGCAAATGCACCTCCTGCAAGAAAAGCTGCTGCTCCTGCTGTCCTGTGGGCTGTGCCAAGTGTGCCCAGGGCTGCATCTGCAAAGGGGCGTCGGACAAGTGCAGCTGCTGTGCCTGATGCTGGGACAGCCCTGCCCCCAGATGTAAATAACGCGACCTCTACAAACCTGGATTTTTTATGTACAACCCTGACCCTGACGTTTGCTACATTCCTTTTTCTATGAAATAATGTGAATGATAATAAAACAGCTTTGACTTGAAAAAAAAAAAAAAAAAGAGAATAGTATTAAAGTACCAGATAAACTTTACCACTGTTTTATTAAATTTTAATATAAATAAACTATGTAAAATAATTCATGATTGTAGCAGGTTATCTAATTTGGAAATAAAAAGAATACTCTTGCTGGATGGTAAACAGACTATTCCTAGCATGAGGTCTTTTCTTGGAATTATTTTATCTTAGTCCTTACCTAGAAGGACTTAGGAAGTGACAAACAGTGCTAAAAACCTGAGAGAAAAGTTAAGACATAGTGACAGAATTTTGCAGGACAAAAGAGTGATATTAGTACAGTCTTTCTTATGTTAAACCTTTTATGATCTTGAAAATCTTATCTTTAAATCTTAAGAAGCTGTTGGATTATACTTTAATCATTGCAGGGAAAAGATTTAGAAATTATGTTGTCAACCAGTTTAGATCAAATTGACATCAGAATTGGGTCTTTAGGAGGAGATTTTTGGTACAATAACTTTGTAATCTGAGGATACTAATCAGGGTATAATAGTACACTTAATTAGTATGATTAGCTGATAGTCTCAAGTTAGGATGACAGTCATTGAGCCCATATCAGGTAGTTAACAGTGAGCATCTATCTGTTCTAATATGTTCAGCATTCTGTTAGGATTAGTTGGTGTCCATGCTGTCCTTGTTATTAAATCATCTGAATATCATCCAAGACCATAAGGGACTGTATGTTCACAGGAAAAAAATAACAAAATCACAAAATGTGAAGAATGTATGTATTATGAAAAGAAGGTAGGCAAACAGATATCTTTAAAAGAGGAAGCTAAAAAAATAAAAATAAAAGAGGAAGCCAAATGAATGGATCAGATAGAAAAAAATGTTCAAAAGTGTAATAATTGTTTTAAAAGGACTAAAAATATTTTTAGAGACCCAAAGGAGGAAATTAGAAACATGAATCAGAAAAATCAGTTATGAAGGACCAACTGGAGATATTCAGTATGAAAAACCTAATAACTGAAATAACTCAGTAAGTATGGTATTAGATAAACCTTATAGATGTTTTTTAGATACTGCTTTTCAGAGTGAACACACTTGAAATACAAATTAGTGAGCTGAAAGATCAGGTCAATCAACTCTTCTAGAAGGACTCAGGAAGGACAAAGCAGTGCTAAAAAACTGAGAGAAAAGGTAAGATACAGTGACAGAATTTTGCAGGACGAAAGAGTGATATTAGTACAGTCTTTCTTCAGTATCTTCAAGGATTGGTTCAAGGACCCACTGCCTTCATAGTAAAATCCAGGAATGCTCAATTCCCTTATATAAAATGGCCTGTTTGCTCATAATCTACATACATCCTCCTGTATACATTCAATTATCTCTATATTACATATGATACCTAATACAATAGGAATGCTATGTAAATAGTTGTTATGCTGCTTTGGTTTTTATTTGTATTTTTTTAATTGTTAATTTGGTTTTTTCTTGAATATTTTCGGTCCCAGGTTGTTTGAATCTGTAAATGCAGAACCTCAAGATACATAGGGCTGAGTGTATTTGATAGAAAGAGGACAGAGAAATTGTTGAAATAAGAGAAATTTGAAGCTAGGATGCTATATCCAATTAATTCAATGTAAGGCTGAAATAAGTTATTGTAAGGTACACAAGGCCTCAGAAGGCTGACAAAAATTCTGTTTGAAAACACTTTGGGAGGATGTGCTCAAGTAAGACAAGGAATCAATCCAGAAGTTAACCAAGAGATGTGAAAAGTGTGGAACAAGTGAAGCTTTGTAACGTGTTTAGATAAAAAACTGCCAGAGGCATCTTTAATATAAACAGCTTCAGGAAGAGAGACACACTGTATTGCTTTCTTTATCCCAGAGATTTTGGAGCGTATACATAGGTGTCATGCATGTCGTATGTATATGTGCGTATTTGTTGGAGGAACAAAGCCCAACCCCCACCCCCGACAAAATCCCATGAGTTTATTTACACATTGTACATGAGAATTTGCGCTATTTCCTATCTTCAGACATGATATTTAAAATATATAACAATTAGTACAACATAGGGCACTGACCAATCAGAATAGACACCAGCCAAACTGCTAGAGCAGCTTCCTGGATGCTGTGCCCTTCATGTCCGGATTATGAGTACACCTCTGGTGGGCTGGGGCAGAGGCATGGGGCAGGGGCTCAAAGTGGCTTCTATTTACCATGTATATAGGATTGTTTCAATATTTTAACAACTTGTATGGTCATGTATACTGACTGAATAGCAACTCTGCTATGAGACATAAGACATGTTTGATGACTTCATGCAATTTTCTGAAACATGCTCTTTTTTTTTTTAAATAAACCTTGGGCAGATGTTATGTTAAGACAGTCTCTGTAGTAAAATAATTTGCCATATTGGAGAGGCTTATCATCTTTACAATGAAAGTCAGAAAATATAAGTAAAACATATTAAGTTGTACTAAAGCAGAGAGAATAATCAAATATAATCTTACTCAAGATATTTTCATGACAACTCAGCTTGCAAGATGTTTTCCTAGGCTTACTGGGTCATAAATATTCGGTATCATTTTTTTTCCTATATTTTAAAGAAAAGGAATTTGGAACACGTAAACTATAAATCTAAGTTTTAAAAAATCTAAACAACAGTTTCCTCTCATTGCAGACCTCATTCAAATTGCAGGCTGGAGCCATGCCCAATATGCCTCTTCAGAGCCACAACTACCCACAG
The DNA here is from genome assembly GCF_000001405.40 of Homo sapiens. NCBI lineage: Eukaryota > Metazoa > Chordata > Mammalia > Primates > Hominidae > Homo > Homo sapiens. Next base: position 73,020 of record NT_167250.2, read on the forward strand.
GTAGGTGGGCACTTGGTGAGTGAGGATAAAAAGTTTGTTGTTATAAGTCATTGAGTTGTGCAGTTGTTTGTTACACAGCAAATGACATTCCTTTTTTACTTATTCATCATTCATTCAACGTATTCTAAACATATAACTATGAACTATAAAAACTCAAAACTGGCTTTTCTTTTAAAAGACTGACTAGACAAATTTATGTTAAAACTAATCAGGAAAGGAATGGAGATGCAAATAAACAACAGCACCTATGAAGTTTGCATTCTACTATTGAAACAGAAAATACACAAATAAACTGGGAATCCCAAATGGTTCATAAGCAAACGAAGAGTGACTTACCCTTACTCTGTAATCAGAGAACTGCAAATTAAAACAATTGGAAAGTCTGACAATATCATGCAGTGGTGAGGATGTTGGGAAATAAGAAACCTCCCATTCAACTTAAGGGAAAGTAAGCTGTTGCAACCATTCCAGGGAGCAACATGAAAGTACTTGGTAAATTAACTATCTTTATACTTTCTCAATGATGTAGCAATTACACTTCTAGGTTTCTTGCACATGTCCCTAGGAATATTTTTCACAGCAATGTTTGTGGTAGTAAGAATGGAGAAAGTCTAGATGTCCATTGACAGAGGAATGGGAAATAAAATAAGGGATAGACACATAATAAAGTTATATTCAGCACTCAGAAATAATGTTCTAGATTAATATTTATCTGGATGGCTCTTAAAATATCATGACAAATTGGGGAATAAACAATATGAGATTTATAAAAGAATAACTTTCAAGGATATTACATGCATATGCCCAGAAACACCAAATTCATCTTTAAAGATACACATATATCTAAATGAATATAGCAATGATATACTGGTAGGGTATAAATTAAATATGTAAGGGTGGGGTGAGGTGAGAATGGTGGATGCATGGGAAAAAGGTAGTAAAAAGTAGAAAGGTAAAATTTAAAAAGGGGTATTGCACAGACGCTGAAAATGTGCAATGAAATGAAGGGTGTGATTAATTCAATTTTGTGACTTGATAGTCTAAAAATAACTATATGTAGTAGAATCTGAAATATGAGGAATAGGGAACTTTAAGGGAGTATATGGAAGTCAACGCCGTCTAAGCATGTGCACACTGAATTCTCACACTTTCGATGATGTCCTGCTATTATATCTTTTCTAAGCTTAGAGGAAGATAAATACCACAGTAGTTATATTTTAATTCTAGTTTTATTTAGGTAAATGATAATAATGAGATAAGCCACAAAGTTCGAATTGACATATCTATTAGTATTAGTATACATAAATGTAGAAAATATATTTCAAAAGAAAAAAGAACGTACTATGATCATCAAAAACCTCACCTTTCCACATGATACATATTGTTGATATTTTGATATTTTTCCACCATGGAATTTATTTTGCAATTACCTTGTTAATCAGTATAATGTATAATGTGAGGATTAAATTGCATCTATGGATCTTGATGTGTTATCTTTAGAACTTATTTAGATTGAAGCTTTCATTTTATCTTTTTCAAACTACTATATTAATGATCTTGAATGAAGATTATTATAGGAGTTCAGTGCCTCGCAAAATTTTCTTGTACTTACCCTGTGCTTCATACTCTTATTGTCTTGCCTCCTTTGAATAATCACAAAAGAAAAAGAAGGCAAAGGAGTATATAGCACAACCTATTAGAGGAAATGGCTGAAATAGTATTCTCTTAATGTTTAATGTGACTATTAAGAGGGTATTATGCTGGCATGTAAAACAGTTAATTGTATTCAGTGTGTTTTAACATCACTGATTAATTGATGGCGTAGTGAATGTTCATCTTGGAGAAAATACCACCTTTGTATCTCAGGGGATCTAAAGAATGTCTTTTGCTGCTGAATAAAGTGCTTCAAAAAGTTCAAAGGGAGAAATGTGTATTTTTTTTTATGGTAAGGAAGAATAGATTTTACCACTTGGGAAAGTAACAGCTTATGAAATCACGCAGTGATGACTGTAATTCAGCTGTCGTCTGTTTCTTTCACCTTCTAACCAGTGAAAAAAGTTAGGTTACTTATTTCTTTGACTAAGTAAATTGAAAAGGAATAAATTCAGAAAGATTATCTAAGGAAACTGGTTATTAGAGCAAAATGGTTTGTATTCACTCTGTAAATGAATGCTCCTGCTGCTTTTCTCTTCATTTTAATCATAATATTTCTTTTTTCCAGTTGCTTCATGTGAATTTTATTTTATTGTTTGTTTTTGTTTTTGAGATGGAGTCTCGCTCTGTTGCCCAGGATGGAGTGCAGTGGTGCCATGTCGGCTCACTGCAATCTCCTCCTCCCGGGTTCAAGCAATTCTCCTGCTTCAGCCTCCCCAGTAGCTGGAACTACAGGCATGAGGCACCACGACTGGCTAATTTTTTTGTATTTTTAGTAGAGATGGGGTTTCACCATGTTGGTCAGGCTGGTCTCAAACTCCTGACCTCAAATGATCTGCCCGCCCTGGCCTCCCAAAGTGCTGGGATTACAGCTTGAGCCACTGTGCCTGGCCGTGAATTTTTAAATATATCACATTTCAAAATAATTTTGCAGTTCCAAAATAATTATTTTGTAATTCAAAGACAGTTGAATAAGCAAATCCCTTGGGATTTGATTGTGTCAGAATTATAAGGTCCTGCTTATTTTTATTTTTATTTTTGGAATTTGTCTGATGGTTGCAGATTATTGTCACCGGTTCCTCACGTTTGTTCCCAAAAGAAGTAGGATTTGTGAGACTTGGTTCCACCTTTGATTTTGATCCATCCCTCTGAATCAGGCTAAGTCACAGACTCCCTAGGTCATTGCCACAATTTTATAAGTAAGACAACTAAAAATAATCTATAGTACTCACTTTCAAAAGATCAATCACTCAATTCACTGAGTGTTAATAACTGATTTAGCTCAGGGAGAAGGACATTTCTCTTATTATTCTCTATAAGAAGGTAAAATATCTAGGTTCTTACATTTTTGAATAGCAAAGTAATGTTGAAATTAGATGGACACCTTGACATGAATCTGAATAAAAATAACATATCTCAGGAATCTTTTAGTATTATATTATTGATATAAAAATTATTAAAATAGGCTGAGCGCTGTGGCTTACGCCTGTAATCCCAGCACTTTGGGAGGCTGAGGTGGGCGGATCACGAGGTCTGGAGATCGAGACCATCCTGGCTAATAAGGTGAAACCCTGTCTCTACTAAAAATACAAAAAAAAAAAATTAGCCGGGCGTGACGGCGGGCGCCTGTAGTCCCAGCTACTCGGGAGGCTGAGGAAGGAGAATGGCGTGAACCTGGAAGGCGGAGCTTGCAGTGAGCCGAGATCGCGCCACTGCACTCCAGCCTGGGCAACAGAGCAAGACTCCATCCCCCCAAAAAAAAAAAAATTATTAAAATAGCAATATTATTAATGTCTACACTTGGTCTTAGCCAAAAGGCCAAGAAGATATAGTTTCTTAAATTTCTGAGATCTTTCTAATTTATAAAATGCTTTAATATACAGCTTTATTTTTATTAATTTAATTTAATTTAATTTATTTATTTTTTAGATACAGAGTCTTGCTATGTTGCCCAGCCTAGACTTGAACTCCTGGGCCCAAGTGATCCTTTTGCCTCAGACTCCTAAATAGCTGGTACTAGGCGTGCGCATCACTGTACCTTACCTCCATACGCAGCTTTTTAGAGGCAGAAACTATTTCACTGACTTCTATCCCTTAAACCCAGAAATTGCCAGACATAGGTTAATAAGTGCCTAAAGTAAACTTCAGTCTTTTGTTGCTGTTTCCCACCTCCTATATTTGAGGAATTCTCTGCAATATGTATCTTTAACAGAAGCTCCAAAGGCCATGTGCTCTATATCCCATCTTTCTCTTCAACTACAGCACAGTAACGTAACTTAGGCTCACCTGATCAGCTGTACCCAGTTGAACTTTCACTGGGAGCTGGTGATGCAAAAGAGTAGCAATGGTGGAGAATCTATTCTGATAGTGGCAGCAGTATAGATAGCAACAACCTGTTCCAGGGCAGTAGTGGAAATGAAACTAGTGGTGGCATACGGTGGCTGGTGCCTGAGGTGATGGCTGTACATGTGGTGGCATCCAGTGTTCAGCCATGGTGGGAGCAGTCCCCTTATGACCCTGGATCTATGGTTTTACTTGTGGATCTGGCTGGTGCATAGTGCTCATTGTTGATCTTCCCTTTTTCAAAACTTGTTTCTTTATTCTTCTTGACAATTCTCTTAGATATATAAAATCCTTTTAATAAATTCTGTTTAAATTAGAATTGGCTTCTGTCACTTGCATTAATATACTTGACAAATAAAATATGAAACTGACTTGCATAGCTCTATAACCCTATCAAGACAGGTTTTACGAATACTGTTTATATATCAGTAAGCAAAGACTAAGAGACAGTAATTTACTTGGCTAAGATTAACGTTTAGTAAGAACGAAGAGCCAGGAATCATACATAGTCACTCCGATTCTATGCCTGGGTCTCTTTCTTCCCTATCACAGTGTGGCAGAGATGGGTTAATTTTCTAAGTACACAGAAAGCTTACATTTCACAACTTCTCTTTTAATTCTCAGCATCATCACTTGGTGTAGAGTCCCCCAGAGAGCAACCTGATCCATATCACAAACCTGAGACAAATTTTGGTTGCCTTAAGCCCTTACAATTTGGAGTTTATTCTTATAGCAGCTAATGATCTTTACTCCAATTAATGCAGAAATTAGTAACAAAATTGAGGTGCTGTCATAACAAAAACTTAAAATACGTGACATTGACAGCTGTTAGCTGGATAGTGAGGAGAGAGATACCAGAGATCTATGTTATATGGTGGTAAAATTTTTGGTAAATTTATTACCTTCTTACAAGACAGAAAATGTACCTACTGGGCTTGTCGTTTTAGAGGAAGAGTTTGCAAAATCAAATGTTGGCAGAGTTTGTTGGGACCGTTGGCTTATTTGGAAAAGTGTAGTAATAAAAGAGATGTTCCCAGAAGAAGATTGACCAATTGATGAACAGAAATGAAAGTAGAGAGAGAACAGAAATTCAGAGCTTTTCAAGTTGAATAGTCCTAACTTTGAAACCCTAAATGGTAAGAAATGGACTTACAAAAGGCTTTGAATGAAAGAAGTCCAGTACAACTTGACACTAATAGTTGGATAAAGGGACTCACAGCAAAGATCAGATTAGGGTATGCCTTACACATTGTTTGCTCCAAATAGACTCAAAATACCTGCCATTAAGTAAAAAGAGGAACCACAGTGGCAAAGAAGCAACACAGATCAGACTAGACAATCATTTCTAGGAATAAACTATTGGTATAGTTACTGGCACGTGGATTTGATTGGAAACAAACAGATAGAAGAATATAAAATTTTGAATAAATGATTTTGCCAATGGAGTCATGAAATTGCAATAAAAAAACACGTAAGATATCAGAATTTAACACAACCTGCATGTCCTAGACCTTCAAGCAGGTGGCAGGCAGTAGGCAGTAGACTTGCACATTCATATAGCTGCCAAAAAGGTCATGTGCCCCAGTTCCCACTGCAGATGCGGTCAAGGAGAATAACAGACAGGGGGATACCTTCCAGAGGGTGAGGACATTGCATAAAAGAACTCTCTCCAGAAGGCATAAACAGTGCCTAATGAAGAATTTCTCCTGTCCCCAAGGCAATGTCTGCCCAATGGGATTTTAAAATTGCCCCAAACCAGTTGCTGTGTTTCTTTTTCCCCTTCTAAATGGAAGCGTCTATTGTGGTAATTGTAACCCTTCTCCACCGTTGTAATTAGATATGTATTTATTGTCTTTTTAGTTCATAGGTCTCCGGAGCCTGGGGCATCGCATCTAGATGGAAAGGACTGAATATCAACTGAAGAGCCTAAATTTTGGGCTGATGCAGTCAGTGATTAAGAGTTTTGGGTCAGTGATGGGGCGAATATGTTTCATGTGTGGGAAGATAAATAAAAGGGGTGATGCATGACCAGAAAGGAGGACTGTGGCAGAAACAGCCTAGATGCTCACCAATCTTATTTCTACTGTTTGGGCAGATGGAAACTGCTATAGTTCAAAGCCTCTCTTGGAGTTAGATTGCAATCATATGAATGAGAAATAGAATGTGAGCGAAACTCACTGGTGTCACTTCCAAACTTGGCTCTTTAAATGTTCTTCACAATCATTCATGTACTCACTCTACTGTCTTATGACTATTGTACATATTCATGCACATAATGATGTTTCCATACATATAATGTGTAATAATCAGATCAGGGAGAGTCGCATATCTATCAGCTCAAATGTTTATCATTTCTCTGTGTTGGGAATGTTCAATATCTTCCTTCTAGCTATTTGAAACTATATATTATTGTTAACTCCTGTCATCCTACAGTAGTATAGATTATTATAAGTTATTCCTCCTATCTAGCTGTAATTTTATATCCTTTAACAAATCTCTCCCTGTCTCTCAGTAAAGTATCCTGAGATAGTGGAACTTCTCTGGTTAACACTTGGAAAAGAATTGCTGAAAAGAGCCGTCTCACCAACTTTGGGCTGTGATTTTGTTTTGTGAAGTCATTGTGATTTTGGGATGGTTGTTTATAGCAGCTAGCAAGTCTTAGCATGGCAAATACAGTAACTGTCATACTAAAAAATATGATGCAGAATAAATTATGTTAGGTAGATTAAATAAATCTATATTATTAATAAATAATATTTGTAAGTCTGAATTTTATCTGTTGGAATGTCAGAAAAGAATGGGGATTATATAAAAAAGAATTGTTAGAAACCAGAGTGTATCCTATATAGGATCATTAGTGAAGAAATAGATGGAAAAGTGGAAATGAATAACTATTTCTTCCACACAGAATAAAACCCAGAAACAAAGAAAAGTTAAGTAGTATTAGATAGTGATTCCCAAGCCTGGGAATGGGAGTCAGTGATACTCACCTAGGAGAGAATATTAGGAAGGAGTGAGTGACATGAAAAAAAAGTCACGGAGGGAAAGGGTAAAGTTTTAGTAAGTCCTATGGATGACAATTATGTATTACCTGCAGCTTGTCCTACTAGAGGAATAGTCTCTGTGCCAAGAGGAAAAAAAAAGGCTCAGAATTTCTGATCTAAGACATAGGTAATTAAGAACTCAAAAGGAAAAATGTAGTCAGTGTATAAGATGATGGAAATCTTGTTTTAAGAGAACTGAATTATTGGAGAATGTGTAAAGAAGAAAGAGGTGTTAAACTTTTGAAGGGGAGTCAGATTTGCTCACATTTTTAACCTTTAACAGTTTCCCACTTTTTTTTTTGAAACGGAGTTTCACTCGTGTTGCCTAGGCTGGAGTGCAATGGTGCGATCTCGGCTCACAGCAACCTCCACCTCCCAGGTTCAAGTGATTCTCCTGCCTCAGCTTCCCAAGTAGCTGGGATTACAGGCCCGTGCCACCATACCCGGCTAATTTTTTGTATCTTTAGTAGAAACAGGGTTTCACCATGTTGGCCAGGCTGGTCTGGAACTCCTGGCCTCGTGATCTGCCTGCCTCAGCCTCCCAAAGTGCTGAGATTACAGGCGTGAGCCACAGTGCCTGGCCATACTTTATTCTTTATGATACAATGTCTCACTCTGTTGTCCAGGCTGGAATGCAGTGGCAGAATCACAGGTCACTGCAGCCTTGACCTCCTGGGCTAAAGTAATCCTCTACCCCAGCCTTCCAAGTAGCTGGGACCACAGGTGTGCACCACCACGCCTGGCTAATTTTTAAATTTTTTGTAGGTATCACTATGTTGCCCAGGCTGGTCTTGAACTCCTGGGCTCAAGCAATCCTCCCATCTTGGCTTCCCAAAGTATTGGGATTACAGGAGTGAGCCACTGTGCCTGGCCTGGATGGGTAACCTTTGAAAAGTTATGTAAAATCTGTGTGCCTCAATGAGGATAGTAATAGAAACTTCCCTGGAATTACTTGAAGTTTAAATGAGTTAATCTATGTAAACAACCTAGAACGGGCCGGGCACAGTGGCTCACGACTGTAATCCCAGCACTTTAGGAGGCCAAGGTGGGTGGATCTCCTGAGGTCAGGAGTTCCAGACCAGTCAGGCCAACATGGCGAAACCCCATCTCTACTAAAAATACAAAAACTAGCTGGGGGTGGTGGCACATGCCTGTAATCCCCGCTCCTCGAGAGGCTAAGGCAGGAGAATAGTTTGAACACAGGAGGCAGAGGTTGCAGTGAGTCGAGACTGTGCCACTGCACTCTAGCCTGGGCAGCAGAGAGAGACTCCATCTCAAAAAAAAAAAAAAAAAAAAAAAAAAAAAAAAAAAAAAAAAAAAAGAACCTAGAACAATGGCTGGCATAGAGGCATAGAATAAGCATTATATGTATTAGCTATGATTACAAAAGAGGAATCTATAAGGTATTCTGCAGACAAAGAGAAGGAAGTGGCTAATTTAGTCTGCAGAGTAGAGAAGAAACTCAGAGAGCTGCAATTTGCAAAGCAAGGAGGAGAGATGAATATTTGTTTTGTTTTGTTTTTTGAGACCAAGTTTCAGTCTTGTTGCCCAGGCTGGAATGGAATGGCATGATCCCGGCTCACTGCAACCTCTGCCTCCAGGATTCAAGCGATTCTCCTGCCTCAGCCTCCCAAGTAGCTGGAATTACAGGCACTCACTACCATGCCTGGCTAATTTTTGTGTTTTTAGTAGAGACGGGGTTTTACCATGTTGGCCAGGCTGGTCTCGAACTCCTGACCTCAGGTGATCCACCCGCCTCGGCCTCCCTAAGTGCTGGGATTACAGGCATGAACCACCGTGCCCAGCCGAGAGATGAATATTAAAACATATTTGAGGGACTTTAGAAATTGTCAGTCTTTAAAGTCTGTAAGAAGGATGGTCTGGATGACTCCTTTAGCATGAACTCATTATTTAGTAGATGACTCCATCCCAGTTAGTATTTATGCCTGTGGAAATCTCATATGAAGAGCTAGATCTGATCAGCAGCTCTATTATATCTAGCTTAATGCTCACAATTTGTTCCACAAAGCCATTCTCTCTCTCTCTCTGTCTTTCCCTCCTTCCATTTTGTTAGATCACATATTATAATAGTTATATGCTTTAAACCCTTATTTGGAACAATAAAGATGACTGACTTACATTTCAGACATTGTCGCTCCATGTCGCTAGTTTTAAAACCTGCCCAACTTAGTAATAAAAAGTAATGGCTCCTCAGATAAGAGTTTCATGATAGTTTCTTAGAAACGAGTCAATGACACTACTGTAATAGCAGGGGAAAAGATTTCTAAGTCACATCATATTTTCAAACTGACAATTTTAGCTACAAAAGTACAACTTCCAAGAGGTCTTTCCCAGGTAAACATGGAAGGGATTTACCAGTCCACAGAAAAGTGACTGCCTCTCCCTTGGATAAATGAGATTCTTTGCTTCCTGAAAATGAGAAACTGCTATTTCAATTTCAATGCCAAAGATCAAATTTTCTGACTACTGTGAATGAGGCTGCTCAGCATTTACAACACTAAAAACAAAGAAAAGAAAGCCGAAGAGGAACAATTTTTTTTTAGCATTTGCCCCAGGCCTTTGCAATCAAAGCATAACCCAGCTTATTTTTGGGGTGACTACACCCTCCATTCTCCAGGTAGTTGAATCTTCCTTGCATGTGTGAAAGCATCACTGACAAAGTTTCGTTGTCATGGAGTTTTTAGATAAGTATCTCTGAGTTTAAAATCCCAAATTATATGCATCCACCCACCCTTATACTATAATTAATATCTGTCTTGGGGCTTTTTAGAAATAACTACACACATCAACAGTTTCACAACTGCTTCTGTGAGTGGTGAGATTAGTAGGCAGATTTCTAGGGGAATTATGCAGGTGACCAGTCATTAATATGCACATTGTTAAAATGTTTGAACGTTGTCATGATGATGATACAGCGCCGATGAGTGGAGGAACACCAAGTTCTTCGTCCTCATGCTGGTTTAGATAAAACGACACTGACACACGTGGAGTGGTTTTAAGGAGCGGAAAGTTTAATAGGCAAGAAAGAAAAGAGAAGGCAGAAGGAAGAGGCTCTCCTGTACAGAGACAGAGGGAGGGGGGCTCCAAAGCCGAGAGAGGGAACCCCATCTGGCAGGGATACCAGCCAGGTATATATACAGAGGCTGGAGGAGGCAGTGTCTGATTTGTATAGGGCTCAGGGGATTGGTTTGACAAAGCATGTCATTCATATAGCCCAGGAAAAAGCCTGCCCTCCCACCCTAGCCTTTTAATATGCCAATGCAGGGCACCATGATGTTCTACCCACGTGGGGATATGTGGGGGCGGCCATGTTGCCAGGAAGTGTGGGGCAAGGTCAAGATGGCAGTGGGAATAGCCATGTTTGGGTGGACCCAGTTTCTAATGGATGGCATTTGCATATCAAAGGTTGCCAGCCTGGCTCTAAGAGCTGCTTTAAAAACGAAAACTTCCCAAGGACCCCTTTTCCTCTCTATCTGCCTAAAATAATTTCTTAATAACTCCTACAACAATGACACCAAGGGGCCAAATTCTAAGATTCCACCAACATGATGCAGTTGGCTTGGCACTTCATAACTCAATTAAAGGGATTTTTGAGGGTTGTTGCCTTAGGTGTACACTGCATGCTTTGAAGTTTTTCCTCATAAAGAACATAATGCAGTAACTTAGGAGAGACCATTAAAGCATTTTTCCCTTTAAGAACTGCAGCAATAATTATAATCTGGTAGCTACTTTCTTATGTTCTTGTAAGATAACTAGTCATCAACAAATTTTTTTCTCTATTAATTTCACTGCGATCAAATATTTCTCAATGAAAATAAAAGATAGGAATTTCCTGTATATATATAAACTCAGTTATTTTGAAACAACACATAACATTAGAATTGAGAAAGACCATGGAAATATTGATTTCAGTGTGAATGAAAAAGAAAAACTTGGGACCTTAATTCACTATGCCAAAAAAGAAAAAAATTAAGCTGAAAGATGAGTCATGCAAGAAACTGCCTTTCCTTTTGTTCCTAAGCAGATAGCTACAGATAAAAGTTAAACATCTCCACTGACTGCTACTCCATGTTCACCTTATTTTATGTAAAGTGCCGATTTACTGAGCCCAAGATCAATACTTAACTGACAATTCCCCTACTTGTTCATTTTCCTCTGCAGCTTGTGGATTACCATACTCTCCCCTTTTCCCCTCCAGCTGGCTTTTCCTCTTTAAATATTGAAGCCTGCAAATTCATCCTTGGAGAAAGGCACAGACCACAGACTGCTTCTGTTATTCCATGTTCATTTCTTCCTGGCATGTCCTTAACCTTGGCAAAACAAACTTCTAAATCTATTTAGATCACAGAAAGGATTTTTTATTTCTATACTTCTTTAATGTGTTTTTAAATGTCTGCCTAATAGTTCATGCAGTTGATATTCCATAATCTCATCATGATTGAGTTTATTTCTCAGCTGTATAGAAGAGGACACAAAGGAACAGAAAAGGCAAGTATCTCATCCAGGATTTCCTAGCTAGTAAAATGAATGCAGGAAAAAGGGAAAGGCCAAGAACAGTCACATCTATCTGTCTTTTCATTTTGTTTCTTCTTTTGCTTTTCATGCTTAGAAATTCTTTCTCCGCCTAGAGATGAGATGAATATTCAATTATGGTTTCTTCCAATTGTTTCTGGTGCTCATTTTTATATTTATATTTAACCTAAGATAATCTGGAATATATTTTGGTAGAACAAATAAATTAGATGTTTGTTCTAAGAGAAGTCTTGATGAAATGATTAAAAAGTTTATCTATAAGAATTAACAGATAATACAACTGAGAAATCTTTAAAAGGAAGAGTACTGGAACAGGTAACTTGTACTGACAAAAATTGAAACTGATAATCATCGTAACAATTAGATTAGCATGCACCGTTTTAAGGAAAACAAGATCAATTCTATTTAGCATAAAAGCAGCAATTAAAATGATATGAAAATCTGTTTTTCTCAGACAGCATATTAGTTTATTAATTTAGTATTTGATAATTTTTTCAGATACAGATAATATCTAAGTGATAATTTAAAAAAATCCAAACATCCTAAATAAAAATCTAAGCCAAAATCTCATAACAAGCCTGTCTCTTAATGAGCTGTGACAGTGAAATAATCCTTTTTACATGGTGATAGCTGATATTGTGATAGCTGTAAACTTAGCTGTCATCACAGATCTTGGCTACAGAGGCTGCTGTGGTAACGAGTGAACCTAATGGGCTTTGTTTACTTGAGTGAGGAGTTTTCTTCATGCCCCAACCCTGCCTGCTTGCAATGTGCATCTGAAGCCAGGAGGATGTCTCTCCAACTGATCGTATATTTCTTTCTTGTTTTTCCTTTTTTTTTTTTTTTTTTTGAGATGGAGTTTTGCTCTTGTTGCCCAGGCTGGAATGCAATGGCACGATCTTGGCTCACTGCAGCCTCTGTCTGCTGGGTTCAAGCGATTCTCCTACCTCAGCCTCCTGAGTAGCTGGGATTACAGGTGCCTGCCACCACCCCTGGCCAATTTTCTGTATTTTTAGTAGAGACGGGGTTTCTCCATGTTGGCCAGCCTGGTCTCAAACTCCTGGCCTCAGGTGATCCACCCTTCTCAGCCTCCCAAAGTGCTGGGATTACAGGCATGAGCCACCGTGCCCAGCCAGATCCTACTATCTTTCTACTTTTGAATTGCAATGTGGTTTATGTCTTTGGATTTTAATAAGCACAAAACTCCTCCTAGAATTAGCAAGATATCAAAAAAGGCCTCCAAGTGGAGAGCATTTGGCCTTGACCTCATGTAGGAAAGAAAGGAGTTGGCCAGGTGTGGTGGCTCCTACCTGTAATCCCAGCATTTTGTGAGGCAGAGGAGGATGGATCACTTGAGCTCAGGAGTTCGAGACCAGCCTGGGCAACACAACAAAACCCTGTCTCCACAAAAAGTACAAAAATTAGATGGGCATGGTGGTGTACGCCTGTAATCCCAGCTAGTAGGGTGGCTGAGGCAGGTGAGTTGCTTGAACCTAGAAGGCGGAGGCTGCAGTGAGCTGAGATTGTGCCACTGCACTCTGGCCTGGGCCACAGAATGAGACACTGTCTCAAGAAAAAAACAAAACGAAACAGGGAGAGTTTGAAGAACAATAATTCTATAATTAAAGTGTTTTTAGAATAGCCCTCAAGGATCCTCTTTCTATCTTTTATACTACCAAACCTATAAACATATATGTGGTTTCCAGGATGAGGAACACAATACTTGAGATGGAAAACTAAAGACCGGCTATGAGCTCCAAGGTTGAGGAACATATTTGCTGAACCCTTTTCCTTAAATTACATTTATAGAAATAGGAAAAATGGAATATCTCCATTAGGCATAATTTAAAAGCACTGAAGAAGTGTAGGGATGTGAAAACACTTCTAAAAAAGCAAGCTTGGCAAAATACCAACTTTTCTCGAGGAACCAATCCATTCTATTTTTCTGTTTGTTTGTCCCAGGTTCTTAAGCAGCATCTGATTTCTAAACTCTTACAAGGGTAGTCTGGATAAAGCACGTTTTATTTTCTCTGTTGAAAACTAAGTATTGCTTAAATGGAGAATCATGCCTTATTTGGTAGTACGCAAAGGTTTAAGGCATTTTTTTTCCTTAGATGAGGGATATCAATACAGAAAAGTCTGTCACTCTGTTTTAAAATTTATATAAGCTCAAAGTTTCAAGTGCTAGTTCATGGGGGAAAGAATTTGTTTATTTTTTGTTTTTGCATTTTCTATGACATCTTTTAGCATAAAGCCTTACAGAGATCATTTTTTTAAATAGTAGAAACATAAATGCTTATTGAACTGAGCACTCTAGCCAAGGAAAAACTTTTCATTAATTTTGAGATAAGAGGCAAAAATGAAAGCATATTATAAACCTTACTGATTATTTCTTCCTTACTTTGGCTATTGGCCATCTTTTAGTTGAAGCATATACATTTATTAAATGTATTAATAAATACATTAAATTAATAAAGTCCCATATTAAAGAAGTTTATGGAAAGATCTCTCCTTATGTCTTAGTGTTCTCTTCCAGGAAGAGGGTATACAGACTTTATAGAAAGTAGATATTCCCTCTTATCTTGTAATATATGTCCTTGTGCAGCATGAGAAGAAAACTTTAAGATCACAGACTAGCCTAAGAAAAATGATTTATCTTTCAGCAAATATTTCTCATCCATAATTTACTTTGGCTTACTTCTGTGTCTACAAGTGTCTGTTGTAGCATATAAATGAAACTAGTTTCAAACAACTTTTCAGGTGCAATAACAAAATGTATGTACCAGAGCTTCTGGATAGCTGAACACATGTCAGTTCCTGGAGGGCGGTGTGCCCAGGGATGGCATGGAAGCTCTGTGCCCCTTCCCCTATGTCTCACCCTATGCACCTCTTCATCTGTATCTTTTGTAATATCTTTTATTTACTTTTTTTTTTTAGAGACAAGGTCTTGCTCTGTCACCCAGGATGGAGTGAAGTGGTGCGATCTGGGCTCACTACAACCTCCTCCTCCCAAGTTCAAGCAATTCTCCTGCCTCAGCCTCCCAAGTAGCTGGGATTACCGGCATACACCACCATGCCTGGCCAATTATTGTATTTTTAATAGAAACGGCATTTTTACAGTGTTGGCCAGGCTGGTCTCGAACTCCTGACATCAAGCTATCCGCCTGCCTCGGCCTCCCAAAGTGTTGGGATTACAGGCATGAGCCACCGCACCTAGCCTGCAATATCTTTTACAATAAACCAGTAGATGTAAGCATTTCCCTGAGTTCTGTGGGCTGTTCCAGCAAATTAACTGAACCCAAAAAAGGGGTCATGGGAACTGCAACTTGAAGCGCGGTGGTCAGAAGTTCCAGAGGCCCAGACTTGCAACTGGTTTGTGTGTAGTTGGCAGTCTTGGGGATGGAGCCCTCAGTTTGTGGAATCTGACTCTATCTCTGGGTAGATAGGATTGGAATGGAACTAAAGAACATCCAGCTGGTGTCTGCCGCTTGGTGTGTTAGGAAAAAACTCCATGCATTTGGTCATAGAATTCTTCTTCTGTGTTGATGACTGTTGTGTTGTCAGAGGAGAGAGAAAACACAGTTAGGGAGAGTTCCCCTACACAATTGATGTCAGTGAAATGGGATTTGCTAGAACAGCCCTCACTCACAGAAACATGTGGTTTAGGAAGAGAAAGGCTAAAAGGCTGGGAGGATGAGGAATCTTTGATTCCTGGGTGACCATCGTGGTCACCCATGATATGAAGTTGCAGTTGTGTTGAGATCAGTTACTACAGGTGAAAGTTACCAGCGGAATTTAGAGATGGATAGAACTCCCCAGGAATTGGTTCACTGGATGCAAAAGGGAATGCAAACTAATAAGAAAAAAGCAAAATATTCAGTTCTTTGGTTGTTGTTACTTAAAATTGCTAAAATGAAAGTAAAATAGGGTGCTGCATCAGGACTTGAAGTTGGACCAAGTTCAGATGGGGACATGTCTGAGCTTAGTTAGGCCACTAGCCTCAAAGTCACACACAAAGGAGAAAATTATGCAGGGACAGTAGAAAGTACCTCTGAAACCTGTGGAAGACAGTCAATGTGAAGGCAGGGCAAAACCAAGTAACTATTTAAACTATTAGAGTAGGTAGTTAGGTAGGCATGAGCAGGACAGGAGCGAGGCCCCATCCAGAAATGCCAGGCAACCATCAGGTGATGGTTAGTTGGTTGTTAAACTGTTGCTCTAAAATAATAATTGTTCACAGCCAATGCAGGGAAAAACAGTCTCCCAATAAATAGACAATACCTGAAACTGGTGATCAGCAGCTTCCTGATAAGATTTCAGGAGTTGGGTGAACAGGCTCAAGAATGCCCACTAAAAAGCAAAATGGCAGAGATTAACTGGTATATGATCTTTCTCTAGGAAAACTTGACTGGTAAGGAAAAAATGCCTCAAATGAGCATGTGTACAACTTTGGCAAACACAGTGTGCATGTTGCCCCTCCCCAAGTGCTGGCGGACCAGTGTGCATGCAGATAGCCCACCCCAAGGGAAGAATCAGGGGAGAAGAAATGCAAACCTTGGAACGATGCCAATGTATTCTTTCCTCCTTGCAGGCAAGAATCGTTTGCTGCAGACCTGTTGGATTCACAGCTGGTAACAAAACCGGAGAGTATAGTGTGAAGGAATTGTTTCATTTTTGTAGAATGGTGTTATCAGCTTCCTGAGGAACTATTGCTAAAATGGATTATAAGAATGACAAATGTAGGGGCAGTGTCTTTGGTTTCAAATCTTGCAGAGTGAAGAGCATGTTTGGGTTGATATAGGACCCACAGCTGACCATTTGAACAATCACAGATGGGTATATATGATCCAGATATGTAGGTTATTCCGCAAGGAACAGCCAGTCTGATAGATTGGATAAAAGCCATTATAAGATCTATTTGAGAAGGTGGACTGTTGAACTCCACCTATAAATGCCAAGTGGAACACCTTACATAAGGCAGCTGATACAATTCATATGCAAGCCATGTGTGACTGGCTTTATGAGGACATGAATATTCACTCAGTGAATATGTCCATTACCCAGGTCACGGTAAATACTCTGGTTAAGGGGACCCCATGTGACATTACTCCTGCAGACTCAAATAGTTCAAGAAGCCTTATCAAATTTGTGGACTGAGTTTCCCCTCATGGATCTCACAGATGCTAATAAAAACATTAGGTTAATTAATAAGAGAACAGTGAAAGGCAAAAGGGAGAGTCAAAGACTCATCCCCGGAAGATAGAAATTTTAAAATGGTTATTAAAAAATAAGGTGAATGAAGAAAACATTGATGGGGTGAAACTAAGAAGAAAAAGAAAGGGGAGAGTCATGGGACTCGTCCCAGCAGAATGGAAAACTTTAGATGCTTATTAAGAAATAGAATCAATAAAATAGACATTGATGGGGTTAAGCAAAGGTCTTAATACAACACTATTGTAGGTTGGATGGACCAGAGGGGGCCCCATCTTGTTCCCCAACATTAAAAGGCCGCAAACCAGTCTGCTGTATTTCTGCCAGCTTGGAGAAATTTAAAAAGCTGGAAGGCAGAGATTACAATGAAAAATCAGATCTAAAATTGCCTGGGGCAACAGTCAGGCAGACTAATCGAGATAAAGATTAATAAAAGGGCCAGGGTCCTTGGGCTCAATCCTTGGCTGGGGACCCAAAGCTTTTTACACAAGAGAGGGTAAAATGACCTGGGGGTAAAGAAGAGAAGATCCTGAAACTAGAACATAAAAATGTAAGAGTTGATAGGACTATGGAAGTTGGTATATTTGAAAACACTTTATGTGAAGTGATTGCATCTCTTTTACCTGATTTTTTTTTTTGTGGGAATGAACAAAGTATCTCATTGGGAAATATTTCTCCTCCCTGGTGCTGTAAAACAGAAGGCATGTAATAATCTGCCCTCAAGCAATATTAATTGGACATGCTAAATGGGAACCAGTGAGATTGCCCAAGTCCACACAGTGCAGAGTAGAAGCTAGAATGCTGTTATGGATAAATTCTCCACTTGATAAGCCTCTGTGATGCTATTTCCTGGATCTTGTGGCAAAAGCCTCTGAGCACCTCCCAGCAACATCTACTGGGACTTTGGACTATGGAACTTCCATCTGAGGGGCATTTACTGCTTTGCTGTGAAATGTTAGGTGAAGCTACCGCTATTAACACCTGAAATACCCATGTTGGCCCAGCGATGTCAGAGAAACATTCTAACAGGGATGGCAGTGCCCAGGAGAGTTCCATAATAAAATGGACATGGTTTATCGAGGATCATGCCACCTAAGAACTGCAAGGAGGGGATACTCTTGAGCAGGGTGTTTCTTTTCTCCTGAGACTGACTCTGGAACTGTGTGAGAAACTGCTGGATTCTACAGTGCCTGATAAATGGCTCTCAACTCATGAGAAAGAGCTACTTAGTTTGTGGCCGGTAATTCCAAGGTAAATGGACACCATTGTGTTTGGAAGGCAGCTACTTTGATAAAAGAAGGTAAAAACAGATCTGCTTGGTGGGCTGAATTGCACACTGTTTTTCTAACAGTGATGGAAGAATTGATCAATGGTAAAAGCCCCTGAGTTTGGGTGTTTACTGAGCTGTGGGCAGTGTGACCCATGGCCTGGCCATACACTCAGGCAAGAGGGCCATGGAAATTTGGCCTATTAAATGGATGCACATAGGAGCACTGTTCTATGGAGATTTGAGGGGTGCATTAAAGAAGAACAAGTGAATGCCCATCAGAAGAACTCCCTTCCAGGTTCAGAAAGTGACTGGAATTGACAAGCAGATATCCCCATGTACTCCCTTGAAGTGGCCACCTGGGCCTTTGAAATGAGTGGATATGGGGGTATTGTAACAGGGCAGAGATGGGCTGAATGTAGAGATGGTTTTTTTGCACCTTCTCAGGCACAAAATGCCAGAAAGAACTGTTGTGTTTCTCAATAAGAAAGCCAGAGACTGCTGACGGCTTTGGGACAGATTCTCTGGTGGGAAGGCCCTGAACATAGCTGGCAAGTGCGACAAATGCTGGTAGCCCTGGAGGCTACAAATGGGTCTTGACAGGAATAGACACTGGCTATGGAGTGGATGTTGCTTGCCCAGAAGAAGATGAAAATTCTCTGAGTGCCATAAAAAACCGGAACAGAAGATATTACATGGATATAGATGGCTAACCATCAGTTTTTCAGACCAAGGAACACACTGTACAGCCCATAAGAATAGTCCAACAATGGACAAAGAGATATCCACCTAGAGTAATAGTTTGATAGAGCAGTAGAGCAGGCAATTGAAACATTGATTGTGTAAAACAGGGGGAGATAAAAGCACAAAGGGCTGGCTCACATGCCTTCCTGTCTGCTCACACTCAACATGAGCAGGACTAGAGTGTTTCTGCTAGATTTTTTTTCTTTGTTTTTCTGGTTGATCTGGGGAACAGGGAGTTGGGAGGATGCTGGTATGACTATGCCATTCTTGCCAAGGGACGAGTACACTGGTATAACAAATGTAAGTTTTTCTTTCTTCCCCAAATCACCTAAAAGAAATTTATTTTTTTCTCCCCTGGCTGATGCAGTGGTCCTAGGACCAGGACTGCAATTACAACTGCTGGATTAGCAGGGGTGATTTCTAAGCAAAAACCTGTAACTGTGTTTTGAAACCTTATATCAAAATTCCCAAAGGCATGATGGGAGTGGGTTGTGTCTTCATGCTATCTAGAAAAATTGGGGCTATCAGTGAATGCAGCTATATTGCCTGGTGGTAAAAATAGCTCACTAGTTCTGCACCTATGTAACCTTACCCGGTCTGAATTGGCGTGGACTGAGGAGGAGCTAATTGCTAGACTTGTATTACTACTTGCAACGTAGACCGGCACTGTGGTGGTTCTAATTTCTCTTCCAAAGGTGAAAAGGTTTAGGTATTAATGGAGAGAAGGAGAAATAGTAGCTGAGAGTAAATAAATGAATAAATGAGTTATTAATTGAGAAAAATTCAGTATTACATAACAACTCAAAAGAGTCTCAGAGCAAGAGATGACATTGTCTCTTAGCTTAATTATCCCAGATGCCTTAAAGGGTGAAGCTGCGTATTTACTGAGGCCACTCCTGCTTTCGAGACCTGACAAGATTGAGAGGAAACTTGCAACCCTGAGTGGCCTCATCCTGGAAGACATTCAAACAATATGAAGGATTTGATTAATTGTTAATGATTGTGCATAATATATATATTTTTGAAGTAAAGGCACCATGGTGGAAAACCAGGGAGTGGCCTGTGGTGTTATGATATACACTGGTTTTAGTCCACAGTTCCTGGCTTATAACTCCTATATCCCTTGTTACAATATTTTCTTTTTTTTATATAATGTTGGGTATGTTAGGCCTCAGGAGCAAGCCTCTGACCTTCTCCTGCCTTACTTTCACTCTAATGTTTCCCCACTTTCTAATTGTGACGCTTAAGACTCTCACAGGAGAGGGTTCCATCCTATATCCTGAGGGAAGGAATGCTGATGTCATGAAGCTTTCATAAAAACCCAAGAGGACAGGGTTCAGTGAGCTTCCGGATAGCTGAACATGTGGCACTTCCTGGAGGGTGGCGCACCCAGGGAGGGCATGGAAGCTCCGGGCCCCTTCCTTCATACCTTCCCCTATGGTTCTCTTCATCTGGATCCTTTGCAATATCCTTTATAATAAACCAGTACATGTAAGAAAAAAAAAAAAAATGTACTTACAGTTTCCTTCCTTCCTTCCTTCTCCTTCCTTCCTTCCTTCCCTCCCTCCCTCCCTCCCTCCCTCCCTCCCTCCCTCCTTTCTTTCTTTCTTTCTTTCTTCCTTCCTTCCTTCCTTCCTTCCTTCCTTCCTTCTTCCTTCCTTCCTTCCTTTTCTTTCCTCTCTCTCTTTCTGACAAACTCTCGCACTGTCACCAGGCTGGAGTGCAGTGGCATGATCTTGGCTCACTGCAACTCCTACCTCCTGGGTTCAAGCTATTCTCCTGCCTCAACCTCCCAAGTAGCTGTGACTATAGGCACATGCCACCAAGCCCAGCTAATTTTTTTTGTATTTTTAGTAGAGACGGGGTTTCACCATGTTGGCCAGGATGGTCTCATCTCTTGACCTTGTGATCCACCTGCCTCGGCCTCCCAAAGTGCTGGGATTACAGGCGTGAGCCACCATGCCTGGCCAACCTACAGTATTTTTTCTAAGGCCATCTCTAGCTGCATACTTACCACACTAGGTAAATTTTCTGTAAAGGCATATGCCATAAATCAGGATTTTTTTGTTGTGGTTTTTTGGTCAAGATTAGTTTCTACATATCATCCAGTATTTGTTACGTCTAATGAGAGGTTGTATATATACATGTGAATGTTTCAGGACCATATGGCAATTATTCCATTTAAAATATTGCTGTCCTACTTCTCAGAAAAAAGGCAAGGCATAAATTATTGTTTTTACTATTTTAAAAAATGTAGCCCTTCATCAGAGCTTAGATCTATAGGTATAAATTACTAATGCTCATCCCTTTCCAGTGGCAAAAAGGAGATATCAAATTATTTTGAGATTTGAGTAAGAATAAAATTAATAAATAGCAAGAGGACAGGTGTGTGAAAGTTTTCATATGAGTAACGCTCGGGTTACTTATTTCTTTCCTTTTAACAAGAATTATTTAGCCCTTGCCTGGCTCTTGCTGCAGTCAATTTGAGAGGAAAGGACATCTTGCCATTGATTTTAATTATTCCCAGTCATCCCATTCCTTTTTTAGTAGATTGAAACTCTCTTGGGCTGGTTTTCTAGCTCCACCTACGTATTGGTTGGCACTGTCTTCATTTAATTTTGCCTGTTATTATTCCTTCATAATGCCTTTCCCTGAAGTGACAGAACATCCTTCACCTGCCAAGGTCAGCAGTTTGCTACAGGAGATGACACTTCCAGGATCATATGCCAAGTCTATGTAAGGGCACAAGCGAACGGTGGTGGTAACTAATAGTCTTAAAGTTATCTTGTTTATTCTTATTTCAGCTTTCCTGCTATATTTTTTGCATACTCTCTAAAGTAATACATGGTAATTGGAAAAATGTGAGAAGATAAAAAAGAAAATCAGAGAGAATGAGATTGTGTATTAATTAGTTATCACCAAACAAAACTCCAGACTGTATAAATACCAAACAAACTCCAGACTGTATAAAAAGTAAAAACAGGAAATAATCATTTCAAAATTTCATTGGATTAATGTTTTCTATTCCTGCATTCTTCCCCCTCCTTCTTACCTCTTCCTCCTCATCTTTCTTCTTTTCCCCATGTCAAGTAATTTCCAAGATGGCCCAGGAATAAAGATATGCAGTTACAAAACATTCTAGCCCTAACTAGTAAGAACAAATATTCTCTTTCTGTGAATAGAAAGGATAGATGGATCTGTATATACACAGACTTGCATGTGAGTTTTTAGAATATGTACATCAGTTAGATTGTGTTAAGGCACAAAGCCATAGAGTTATGCCCCACATTAGGAAATACTTCCAGGAATGTGTATTGCATGAATAAATAAATGAACCAATAGCTTACTATGTGTCAGATTCTTTGCTGTCCTTTAAATAGATGATCTTATTGAATCTTTTCCCCATATTAGGAAATACTTCTAGGAATAAGTATTGCATGAATAAATGATGAACCAATAGCTTACTATGTGTCAGATTCTTTGCTGTCCTTTAAATAGATGATCTTGTTGAAAATTCACTGTGAAAAGAATGGGGATCTAGCATGATAAAAAGATACTTGTTGACTTTATGGCAGGACACAAGTTACACATTTTGCAGACTTAAGAGAGGCTGTGTGGCCTGAATTTTGAAGTAGTACCTACTGCTATAGTAGTGGGCACTCAGATTTTGTAGAATTAGGCTTATCAGAAATCCTCAGTTTAATTGTACATTCTATGCACTTAATATTTGAGATTTGTTACATTGTATTGGTGTCTAATATTTTATTCATTCCCTATGAGTGCCAGAAAAGGAGTGAAGGTAGAGAATATTTCATTTGTCAGTATTCCATGAAACTACTGATTATGGGAAATTCATGAAAGAGCTTACAGTTTAAAATTCTACAATGGATTAATTAAATATATATATCTGATTACAGCTGAAGTTCAAGTCCCTCAGATCAATCAGCAGTATTTTCAGAGATAAGTAGATTTATTTCTTAATTAATTAATTAATATTTATGTGTCTATTAAATATGGTTCTTCATTGCACATACTTTGAAATTTTTTTTCTTTTTTAGAGAGAGTGTCTTGCTCTGTCACCTAGGCTGGAGTGCAGTGGCGCAACCTAGGCTCACTGCAACCTCTGCCTCCCAGGTTCAAGCAATTCTCATGCCTCAGCCTCCAGAATAGCTGGGATTACAGGCACGTGCCACCATGCCCAGCTAAGTTTTATATTTTTAGTAGAGATGGGGTTTCACTGTGTTGGCCAGGCTGGTCTCAAACTCGCAACTTCAGGTGATCTGCCCACCTCGGCCTCCCAAAGTGCTGGGATTGCAGGCATGAGCCATCACACCTGGCCCATACTTTGATATTTTTAACCATCAAATTAGTGAATAAATTACTGAATAAAACTTAACCATATCTCTTCCATGGGTAGGGAGACTATGGCATCACAAAGGAACAGTGTTGTTATATCTTTACAATAGGAAACATTGGACAAAGATGGAAGAGTAAGGACAATGTTATCATTTTCATTGTTCCATCATCATAATGTGCCATGTTGTGTATAGACTTCTCTACACTGTGTGGCTGCTTCTTTGGAATACACAGTCCTAAGCATTGCTGGGATTGTGAATGTCAAACTACTACTATAGATATTTTGTATCTCAGAACTTAAACTTGATGCAGTAATTATTGTCTTAATCATTGGTTTTACCCTTCCTATCATTGTGTTGGAATAAGGTCTTTCCTGAAGTGAGTACTATAAGCAATAGTATAGAAATACACAAGAGACAATAAAGTACGTGAGGAAGGCTGGGCACAGTGGGTCACACCTGTAATCCCAGCACTTTGGGAGGCTGAGGCGGGTAGATCACCTGAGGTCAGGAGTTCAAGACCATCCTGACCAACATGGTGAAACCCTGTCTCTACTAAAAATACAAAAATTAGCTGGGTGTGGTAGCATGTGCCTGTAATCCCAGCTACTTGGGAGGCTGAGGCAGGAGAATCACTTGAATTTGGGAGGTGGAGGTTGCAGTGAGCCAAGATTGTGGCATTGCACTCCAGCTTGGGTAACAGAGTGAGACATTATGTATATATATATGTGTATATAAATATATATGTATGTATGTGAGGAGGATAATAGTTAATCCTAACAGATTAACTTGGAATCATTCAATAAGTAGACTGAACTAAAATTGGGAAGCCATTATTTGGTATTAAATTATGGGCACCAGGGGTAAATGACTGACTAATAGAGCAGGAAACACCAGACAGAGAAAGGAATGAAATACAAATGATGGTCAGTAGGGAGGAGGTGGTCAAGGAAAATGAGTTATGAACAGAAAGAACTCTATTTACAGGCTGACACTATAAATGCTTGTAAATGAAAAATAAAATTCTAAGGCCTCCAGTGAACTGAATGGAACCCTCATCTTGGCCAAGGGTATTCCAAAGTTAACCTGAAACACTAGTTCAAGCCATGACGGGAATGAGTGGTCAGACATGCCTCATTATACCCTCGTCCTGTTGGAATTCAGTCACTACTGACCAGCATTAACATTAAAACAGAGACCTTGGCCGGATGCGGTGGCTCACACCTGTAATCCCAGCACCCGCCTCAGCACTTTGGGAGGCTGAGGCGGGTGGATCACGAGGTCAGGAGTTCAAGACCTGCCTGGCCAAGATGGTGAAACCCCGTCTCTACTAAAAATACAAAAATTAGCCGGGCATGGTGGTGGGCACCTGTAATCCCAGCTACTCGGGAGGCTGAGGCAGAGAATTGCTTGAACCCAGGAGGCGGAGGTTGCAGTGAGCCAAGATCGTGCCACTGCACTCCAGCCTGGGTGACAGAGGGAGACTCTGTCTCAAAAAAAAAAAAAAAAACAGAGTCCTTAAGACAACGAAGGGAGACACTGTAGCAATAAGAGACCAACATAGCAGACAGCAGGCCCTGAAGAAAACTGAAATATTTTACCCCAAGATATATTTCTTTGACATATTTTGAAATGGCCCTGCAATGGTGTCTGTTGTGGGGAAAATCCATATTCTGTAAAGAATTCCCTTCCTTTTCCAAGTCTTTTTCCTGATCCAGGAGAGAATTAACTAAGAATTTGGCACCTTTTTAAGTCTGATGAGAAATATTTACAGTGTATTCTCTCTGAAGCCTCCCATCTGGAGGCTTTATCTGCATAATAAAAGCCTTGATCTCCACAACAACCGCTTTTCTTAACCCAGACACTCCCTTCTATTGATTCCACGCCTTTAGATAAACTCTTCAACTGTGAATCCACCTATGACCTGAAATCCCACTCCCCACAAGCCCTCCCAACCAAGTTGAGTTGTCCCACCTTTCCAGACCAAACCAATATACATCTTACATGTATTGATTGATGTTTTATGTCTCCTTAAAATGTATAAAACCAAGCTGTAGCTGACCACCTTGGGCACATGTTCTCAGGACTCCTAAGGTTGTGTCACGGGTATGTTTTTGACCTTGGCAAAATAAACTTCTAAATTGTTTGGGAACTGTCTCAAATACCCTTTGGGTTACTCCCTGAACTATGCCAGAAAATCATTGACATTGTGAAGGGAAAATATCTTGGGTCCCCCAAATCACTAAGCTAAAGGGAAAAGTTAAGGTTGGGAACCTCTTAGGGAAACCTGCCTCCCACTCTATTCAGTCACCCCTCTTCTCACTGAGATAAGCGCATATCTGATTGCCTCCTTTGGAGAGGCTGATCACAAACTCAAAAGAATGCAACCATTTGTCTCTTATCTACTTATGACCTGGAAGCCCCCTCCAAGCTTCCAGTTGTCCTGCCTTTCCAGACCGAAATGATGTTCATCTTACATATGTTGATTGATGTCTCATGTCTCCCTGAAATGTATAAATCCAAACTGCTCTGACTGCCTTGGGACATGTCATCAGAACTTCCTGAGGCTGTCATGGGCTCACATCCTCAACCATGGCAAAATAAGCTTTCTGAATTAACTGAGACCTGTCTCATAATTTGGGGGTTCATGTTTTGGTAACCACAGAGGGATTCTAAGTAGAGGTGCCCCTGACCTTTGACAAATCTCCTTTTGGTGTTTGGTATCAGCTTGAGCTATCTTTATGGCTCAAACCAATAGGATAATTTGCTGAGGTCTGGAAGCACCCTCTCCAGAGAATCCCTGATCTTCCAAAATTTGGTTGAGATCTACAGTTTATTTTGGTACGTAACTCCTTTTTTTGAATTTTACTTGCTTCCAACCCAAGGAAGGCAAGTTTTCCCTGCTTCCATAATGATGGAAGGCAGATAACTCCTTTATGGAGTTTGAGCTCACTTCCAACAGGGAAGATGAGTTTTTGTTGTTGTTTGTTTATTTGTTTTGAGACAGAGTCTTGCTCTGTCACCCAGGCTGGAGTGCAGTGGCACGATCTCAGCTCACTGCAATCTCTGCCTCCTGGGTTCAAGTGATTCTCCTACCTCAGCCTCCTGAGTAGCTGGGACTATAGGCGTTCACCACCATGCCCAGCTAATTTTTTATTTTTAGTAGAGACAGGGTTTCAACATGTTGGTTAGGCTGGTCTTGAACTACTAACCTCAAGTGATCTGCCTGCCCTGGCCTCCCAAAATGCTGGGGTTACCGGTGTGAGCCACCGCACCCAGCCTGATGAGATCCCCTCCGCTGCCCCCTACTTCTAGGATGGTAGAGAGCAGCCTTCAGCCTGAAATCCATCCCTAGGCAAGTAAATGATGTCAGGCCTCTGAGCCCAAGCTAAGCCATCGTATCCCCTGTGACTTGCACATACACATCCCGGTGGCCGGTTCCTGCCTTAACTGATGACATTCCACCACAAAAGAAGTGAAAATGGCCTGTTTCTGCCTTAACTGATGACATTGTCTTGTGAAATTCCTTATCCTGGCTCAAAAGCTCCCCTACTGAGCACCTTGTGATCCCCCACTCTGCCCGCCAGCGAACAACCCCCCTTTGACTGTAATTTTCCTTTATCTACCCAAATCCTATAAAACGGTCCCACCCTTATCTCCCTTCGCTGACTCTCTTTTCAGACTCAGCCCGCCTGCACCCAGGTGAAATAAACAGCCATGTTGCTCACACAAAGCCTGTTTGGTGGTCTCTTCACACGGATGCACATGAAAAATGAAGTGGGGTTTGTCTTGGTTAAAGTTAAGATTTCCAACCGCCTGATCTTAATTTCTCCTTACCATTAGAGTGCTTGGTAATCATGTAAGTTGTGCAATTGTTTGTTTTGCTTAACTTTTGTTTTGTTATTGTTTTTTGTTTCTGGTTTTTGTTGTTGTTTCAGTCTTTTTCTCATTGGGTTTGATCAACTCTATCCAACTAGATCAAATCCAAAGGAAGTTCCAAATTATGGAACAAGGCCTCTGAAGTGGCTAAATTCCCAGAAAAACGACGACAACAACAACAGCAACAACAACTACAAAAACGGTGGTGTGGTAGCAGAGAAATATACCAGCAAAAGGAAAAAAAAGAGGAAAGGCTTTGATTTTGACTACTAATAGGCTTTATTTACATAGCAAGGTGGCCTTTTTGCTAATCAGGCCAAACTGAAAGAGCAATGGCTATTACTTCTGAAATAGCAGCAATTTGTCCTAGCTGAAATATGGTAATGATATTTAAAAACATATTTTTTAAAGGGGCTCAGTGGCTAGTCAGCTTAATTAAAAGCTAACATCCAAGATGTGTGTGTGTATGTGTGCATATGTGTGTGTTTGTATTTAAAAGACCCTCATGCTTTTGTTTTTGCTTTTCTCCTAGGACCTTGTCTCTTTTTCGAGCAAAAGTTTTTTCTTCTCAGTTGACTGAATTCTGTTTTCTTCACTTGTTTGTTTCTGCTCTCTCTCCTTTCTCTTGCACCCTCTGCTGCATGGGGAACCTAAAATAGTTCGTAATAGCCTGGGGTTCCTTAAAGAAAACAGTGAAGGCACCAGACTCCCTTCGGAGGAGAAACCTGTTTTTCCTTATGGAACCCCAAGAATGCAAACAGACAAGGTCCTCTCAGCTCTTAAACTGCTTACTTTTTTTCACTCACGTCCGTGTGAAGAGACCACCAAACAGGCTTTGTGTGAGCAACAAGGCTGTTTATTTCACCTGGGTGCAGGTGGGCTGAGTCCGAAAAGAGTCAGCGAAGGCAGATAGGGGTGGGGCCGTTTTATAAGATTTGGGTAGGTAAAGGAAAAAGGGAGGTTGTTCTCTGGCGGGCAGGGGTGGGGGTCACAAAGTGCTCAGCGGGGGAGCTTTTGAGCCAGGAGGAGCCAGGAGAAGGAATTTCACAAGGTAATGTCATCAGTTAAGGCAGGAACAGGCCATTTTCACTTCTTTTGTGGTGGAATGTCATCAGTTAAGGCAGGAACCAGCCATCTGGATGTGTATGTGCAGGTCACAGGGGATATGATGTCTTAGCTTGGGCTCAGAGGCCTGACACTTTTGTATTGTGTTACCTGGTTTTTTGTTTTTGTTTTTGGCTAACATAGTTATTGCAACAGAGTTTGCTCTTGGGTTTTTAAGGAAGAGTGTGTTTTAGACACTAGAAATGTCTTTGCTTAAAAAAAATTTTTCTAAGTGCACTTAAAAAAACTTAAAAAAGTATCATGTGGTCTAACCTTATTATAATTCTCCCATTCTGGAGACCCTGGAATCAGTGTGGGCTCTGCCCACAGCTCAGGGATCCAGTTAAAAGATAGGTAGTTCCTATCTAAATAAAACTGGTCTCCTTATCCAATCTTACGATAGATTTCTGTAATTTTATGTTTGATTTGGCATCTATCTTTAATCTCCCTCTAGCATCACCAGACTTTTTCTCTCAGTACCTTGTGATGTAAATTTTGCTATTTGCATTTCACCTGAGTCGTTTCCTTTAATTTGCAAATTTAAGCGTGTTTACCTGACAACTGCCTAGGGTTGTGAAACAGATTATCAAAAATCTGAAAGTCTAAGATAGGGAAAAAAAGGTTTTTATAAATCTATAAGATGTAATTTATCAGCATGCCTAATATGTCTATGTATTTATATGTTATGTACAGAATGTTTCACTACTCAAAATAGATAAAAGAGCTCTAATTAATTGGCTTAAGAAAACAAAAATGCTTGAATCAAATACTTTATTGGAAAAAAGAAAAGACTAGTCAAATGCTTATTCAAGTTTATGTAACTTAAGTAAAATCTTTAATAAATAAGCTAGCTTTAAAATTATTGGTAAAGTAATATTAGAAATGTCTTAAGAATTGCCAGCATACATTTTTGTTTTGTATTTATTAATCAAGCAATTTCATACTTATCCCTGTCAAATGCTATGAGGTGTCAA
The DNA here is from genome assembly GCF_000001405.40 of Homo sapiens. Taxonomy (NCBI): domain Eukaryota; kingdom Metazoa; phylum Chordata; class Mammalia; order Primates; family Hominidae; genus Homo; species Homo sapiens. The sequence continues at coordinate 102,148 of NT_167250.2, forward strand.
AATTTGGCATAGTGGTTACAAAACTATAAAACCAGCCCAAGAAAATGATCTTTCCCTGTGTAATCTTTAAATAAATTAGAGATTGATATTGGTGTAATAAGCTACATCATTTTATTTTATTTATTTATTTATTTGTGTTTTTTTGAGACAGTCTTGCTCTGTCACCGAGGCTGGAGTGCAGTGGCACGATCTCGGCTCACTGCAACCTCCACCTCCCAAGTTCAAGTGATTCTCCTGCCTCAGCCTGAGCCTCCTGCCTCAGTCCGGAGTAGCTGGGACTACAGGCGCATGCCACCACACGGAGCTAATTTTTTGTAGTTTTAGTAGAGATGGGGTTTCACCTTGTTAGCCAGGGTGATCTCAATATCCTTACTTCGTGATCCGCCCACCTCGGTCTTCCAAAGTGCTGGGATTACAGTCATGAACCACCATGCCCTGCCTTTATTTACTTTTTTTGAGACTGAGTCTCACTCTGTCACCGAGGCTGTAGTGCAGTGGCATGATCTCAGCTCACTGCAACCTCTGCCTCTTGGGTTCAAGTGATTCTCATGCCTCAGCCTCCCAAGTAGCTGGGATTACAGGCATGTGCCGCCGTTCCCAGATAATTTTTGTATTTTTTGTATAGACAGGGTTTCGCCATGTTAGCCAGGCTGGACTCAAACTCCTGGGCTCATATGATTTGCCCGCTTCAGCCTCCCAAAGTGCTGGGATTATAAGCAGGAGCCACCAAGCCCTGCCAACATCTTGAATTTAGTAAGATTACTGTGACTTCTAATCTTGTGGCTTTTGTCGGTCTAGTCCACAGGCAGTAAGGTTTGTTTTGGGAAAGGACTGTTATCATCTTTCTTTCAAAGCTAAACTATAAACTAAGTTCTTCCCAAAGTTAGTTCAAACTTTTATCAAAGCCAATTTAAAAGCCTATGTAAAAAAATAATTATTCTTGCTGAGCTGTATACAAATAATTTGGCCAAGTATCATAAAGCAAATGAATCCTATCATGATTTGTCTTGAGTAAAAATTAAAAACTGGAGAGAGAATAACTGTGTTTCAAAACCTATACTATACCTGTTGTTAGATTCTAGGTCTTGCCTAATGTTTTTCAATTTTTATTATTTTCTACAGTTTGGACCAAATTCTAATTTTTCTTGGCTACAAGTCTTCAAAATAATGTTCTCATTTTTTTCTTCTTTTTTTTCCCCACTTTTCCTAATTTGGAGTCACTGAAAACTAAGCTGTGCTTTCGTAAAGCCCTGTGAACTGAAGCTAGACAACTCGAACTTCAGAAGAAAATAACAGCAACCTATTTACATACATAAGCCACTTTCCTACCTGCCTCCAATGTAAGGATTTCAGAGTAATGTGGCCTATATCAATTTTCCAGGATTGTTCTTTTGCTTATTGTTGTTTTTCTCCCTTCCTCCCCCTATTTTATCTTTAAAGGATATGAAGCTTCACAACTTCTAAAAAATGAGCTTTCCTAATAACTCAGGACCTATCTGCCTAGGAATAACCCATTGTACCCATGAGAAATTAGAGGAAATCTGAGATCAGAGACTCATTTTCTTTTAACATGTTTTCTCCAAAGATTTTAAAAAAGAAAAGGGGGGAAATGTGAGAGAAAAATATCCTGCCCCCCCAAGGTTACTAAACTAAAGGGAAAAGTCAAGCTGGGAACTGCTTAGGGCAAACTTGCCTCCCATTCTATTCAAAGTCACCCCTTGCTCACTGAGATAAATGCAAATCTGATTGTCTCCTTTGGAGAGGCTAATTAGAAACTCAGAAGAATGCAACCATTTGTCTCTTATCTATGTATGACCCGGAAGTCCCCTCCAAGCTTCCAGTTGTCCTGCCTTTCCAGAATGAAACAATGTTCATCTTACCTATGTTGATTGATGTCTCATGTCTCCCTGAAATGTATAAAACCAAACTGTGCTCTGACCACCTTGGGCACATGTCATCAGGACCTCCTGAGACTGTGTCACGGGAGCAAGTCCTCAGCACTGGCAAACTTACTAAATTGACTGAGACCTGTCTTAGATTTTTGGGGTTCACAACATTCATTAGCGATTGGGGGTCTAGGACTGAAATTTAAAGGCATAGATGAAGTCTGACAGATCCAATCTGATGTTAACTTTGGGATTTTCTTTAGTTACCACTCAGTGCCCCAGTCCTCCTTAAAATACTTTATACCTCCAAGTCTCTTTCCTTCCATAAAAGCCAATTGTTTCTCTAACACTAGGTCTCTGCCTTGCTGTTACCTGCCTTCAGAACCTGGGGTCTTCCCTTCATAGTTAGGGTTCCCACCAGCTAAGAATTCACGGCCTGGATCTCTGCATATTGCCTATGCTCAGATTGCCTTGCTGCCATGTCCCACCTATCCTGTCACACTTTTCTCACCTGGAGTTTGATGGTTTCCTTGTCACTCTTCCTCCCTTGCAGTGTGCTCTACTTTGCTTCTCTGGGCAGACCCTTGCATAATCCTGGGTCTGCCCCTATATGCCTCTAGTAGGAGTTGATGCTGGGCTTGTATTTTGGATAGTCCCAATGGTAAATAAACCCTGACTGTCGTTCATTCATCTGTCAAATATCATTATGCTCTACCATGTATTAAGCATTATGCTAGGCACTTGAGATATAATGAGAGAAATAACCATGGAGGAACACAGGAACTCTCATACATTGCTGCAATTTGGCAGTATATTGTAAAGTTGAACAGGTACATGCCCTACTCTGCAGCTAATTAATGTCTCGGTATCTACCTATAAAGACTCTTGTTTCTCCTCATTTACTTCATTTGCTTTTCTTTCATTTACAACATATTATGTAGGACATACTTTTTTTTTTTTTTTTTTTTTTTTTGAGATGGAGTCTCTCTCTGTCCCTCAGGCTGGAGTGCAGTGGAGCAATCTGGGCTTACTGTAACCGCTACCTCCTGAGCTCAAGTAAGGTGGAGGTTGCAGTGAGCCCAGATCCTCCTGCCTCAGCCTTCTGAGTAGCTGGGATTATAGGCACATGCCACCAAGCCTGGCTCCGGTACATGACTTCAGGTGATCCTGACCTCAGATGACCCACCCACCTCGGCCTCCCAAAGTGCTGGGATTACAGGCATGAGTCACTGTGTCTGGCTGAGCATGCAAAATTTGTAATCGGTAGACATTGTTTATAGGCATGTTTCATAATTATAAAATGAATTAAAAATCAGTCACATAAATATATGGGCTTTTTCAAAATAACCCAACATGGAAACCTTGATATCCTTCCCTAGATCTATGGCAGTCTTTGTAGTCTCCATGACATTGCACAGCTTGGGTTCAGAAATGACTCTCTAGAAAAACTGAAACACCACACCTCTGTAGATAATGATGTGCAGCTGGGGCTCAGCCACTTGTGTTAGTGAAGTTCCTTTCACACCAAAGATACTCACCCCACTTCCATATTATATCCAATCATAGTATTTCAACTTCTGTCAAAATTCCCAGTCTCCAACTATGGTGCAGCAGATCCTTTCAAATGTAAATACAATAGCATAAACTTATATACTGACAATTCTGTAACATACAGAATTTCATTCTGTATGATTCTATTTAATAGAGTTTCAAAATATTCATATGGATGACCATAAAAGAAAGTAAGATTAAAGATGTGCTCTTTATGAAAAGGTGTAACCCACATTTCAATCAGGGATACTTTATAATCTTTAAAAAACACACCATTGACCAGGTGCGGTGACTCATGCCTGTAATCCCAGCACTGTGGGAGGCTGAGGCAGGTGAATCACCTGAGGTCAGGAGTTCAAGACCAGCCTGGCCAACATGGTGAAACCCCATCTCCACTAAAAATACAAAAATGCTAGCCAGGCATGGTGGCAGGTGCCTGTAATTCCAGCTACCAGGGAGGCTGAGGCAGGAGAATCACTTGAACCTAGGAGGCGGAGGCTGCAGTGAGCCAAGATTGCACCACTGCACTCCAGGCTGGGTGACAGAGTGAGACTCTGTCTCAAAACAAACAATCAAACAGCCACACCATCGGCCAGGCGCAGTGGCTCATGCCTGTAATCCCAGTACTTTGGAGGTTGAGGTGGGCAGATCCCTTGAGGCCAGGAGTTTGAGATCAGCCTGGGCAACATGGTGAAACCCAGTCTCTACTGAAAATACAAAAATTAGCCGGGCATGATGGTGCATGCCTGTAACCCAGCTACTAGGGAGGCTGAGGCACAAGAATCACTTGAACCTGGGAAGTGGAGGTTGCACTGAGCCGAACTTGCGCCACTGCACTCCAGTCTGGGCAACAGAGATAGACGCTGTCTCAAAAAAACCCAAAAAACCAAAAACAAACAAACATACAAACAAAAAACACCATTGTTTTTATTTGTATTTTTTCCCTATTTACTACTTCCACAGGAAAATTGTTTGATTTTTGCTCTATTTTAAGCCAAACTTCATATGCAGGGTAAGGCTGAGGCAAAACAAGTGAGAAAGTGGTTGTAGATAAATGTAAACGAATGACCATGAGATGACCCTTTCAGAACTTGTGCAACACGTATGTCACCAGCCCCATTAGCCTGTGTTAGGAATAACGTTCAAAATCCTAAGGAAATTGAACACTCGAACAAAGGATTCTTAGCAAAGCAATTTTACTTCTGCGCACAGGGGTGCCTCCTTGGCCAGTTACATGAGAGCACACCTGAACAAAGGGGCAGGGGAACCTTTATTTCTGTCGCAAGTCCTGCCCCGTACGCTTTTTTTATTGGCCAGGGTCGGGTCGTACAATTTAAACTAATCTCGGTTGGCTAAGCATTTGATTTTTTTTAGATAGGGTGGGCACGTACAAGAAAGTGGAGAGGAAGGCTGGACGCGGTGGCTCACGCCTGTAATCCCAGCACTTTGGGAGGCCGAGGCGGGCAGAACACGAGGTCAGGAGATTGAGACCATCCTGGCTAACACGGTGAAACCTCGTCTCTACTAAAAATACAAAAAAATTAGTCGGGCGCCTGTAGTCCCAGCTACTAGGGAGGCGGAGGCAGGAGAATGACGTGAACCCAGGAGGCGGAGCTTGCAGCGAGCCAAGATTGCGCCACTGCACTCTAGCCTGGGGGACAGAGGGAGACTCCGTCTAAAAAAAAAAAAAAAAAAAAAAAAAAAAATAAAGGAAGTGGAGAGGAAGGGGAAGGGTTGTCTGCAATGAGCTAGAAAGTTAGTCTTTTTTTTTTTTTTTAAATAAGGAAAGGAATGCGAGGTGGTACTGATAATGCCTGGTACTGTAGCGTGCCTGGGCATTAAAGGAGAAAAACGGAAAAACGGCGGGGGTACTATGAATTAAAGAATAAAAGATTGATCAGATTATTTGAAGAGAAACCGCATCATATCCCACACCTGTCACTACATAATGAGGTTATGCTTCATTTTTATATGTATATAATTATGAAAAAAGACTCTGTCTGTTTGCTTACCAGATGTTAGCATGTATTTTTCTACAACATTGTTTGGAGCGTTTCCTAGAGTACTGCTTGGCTTTTTGTTCAGGAGCCTTGCTGCAGCTGGGTCCTTCCTTGCAGCCTTCCCACCCTGCTGACTGACAGGATGCTACCTTTATTGCTGCTGATGTTTATCAGACTGATACTCTGCCTCTAATTGCAACTGGCATTGTCTCTCCAGCTCACAGGAGGGGAAACTGTTCTTGTAATTCTTCGTAATACAGTTGAGGCCCGGCTAGGACCTTGGCCAGGCTTGGGAGTCATAGGGTTTGCAAACTCAAATGTCAACAGAAGTCTGGCTGGTAATGGAAGCGTGAAGGCTGCATAGTTTAAGAAATGTGGGCATGCCATTTGGCTTTAATGTTAGGAAATAACAGCCAGTGGCCAGGCGCAGTGGCTCACGACTGTAACCCCAGCGTTTTGGGAGGCCGAGATGGGCGGATCACGAAGTCAGGAGATCGAGATCATCCTGGCTAACATGGTGAAACCCCGTCTCTACTAAAAATACAAAAAAATTAGCTGGGCATGGTGGCAGGCACCTGTAGTCCCAGCTACTCGGGAGGCTGAGGCAGGAGAATGGCGTGGACCCGGGAGGCGGAGCTTGCAGTGAGCTGAGATCACGCCACTGCACTCCAGCCTAGGCGACAGAGCGAGGCTCCGTCTCAAAAAAAAAAAAAAAAGAAAAAAAAAGAAAAGAAAAGAAAAGAAATAACAGCCAGTATGAGTGAACTGACGACGACATACTGCATTTAAAGGGAGAAGCTGCTATTCAAAGCCAACTGATTGTTGATATATGGAAACAGGGCTTAGTTTTTCCAGTTACGATTTTGCAAAAGAACTCTGCAATTTATATTTTTTAAGGGAAATATTCTTATTTTTCAATACTGGCAACTAATTCTTTTTTTTTTTTTTTTTAAAGAAAGTGCTGTGGCCAAACCAAATATTTCTGTGGGCCTCCATAGAACTATGAAACACTAATCTATGACCATTGACTAACAACTGCTACCGGAAGTAGTTACTTGCTACTCCCAGGACTCACAGTCCAACTATCTTTTAGATTCCCTGCATAGCAACCGGCAGACCTCCATGTAGCATGAGCTGACACAGACAGACATACAGACATACACACACACACATGCACACGCACATTTACAGAGTGCATATGAATGAAAATCCCATTTATATCAGGAGAAAAACCCACATCCTCCCCAATATTGGTGTTGGGCTCCACAGACTACTCAAAGCCATCACTGTGGTTTGCCCATTTAGTCTCAAATAACACTTTATGTGGAAGAGAAATGTTACATTATAGTCCATATGCCACTGCGTCAAATCCAATGCACTTTGCATTCAATCTTGCCTTCAGGATGAGGTAAAGAAAAGTTGCTACTGTATGCATGGCATAATCTCATCTCCTATCTCCTGGAAGCAAATGGTTAAACAAAAATTATAAACACAACTTCCAAGAACAAAATAGTAATTTTCAGTAGCAAGTAGCCTGAATTCAGATTTAAGATAAACTATGTCTAACTCTGTGGAGGTTCAGCCTGGCTAATAAATCAAATTTACATTAAGGTCAGGGCTCTGGTGGGACTATTCCCTTATATTCAGGAGTGTCTTCAAGAATAATGGAAAGCTACTTGAGTACAAGAGTAAAAGGGCCCACTCAATTTCCACATCAGAATGCGGGAAAACCACATGCCATATTCTCATTGGAAACTTCTCCTGCTTCAAAATTTAAAGTTCATTCTGCACCAGATAATCCATTTGATTAAAAGAAAACAACTTCTGAGGGCTAACCTGTTAAATAAGCCCACATCCAAAGTCATCTTAAAGGTGACTATCAGAGCAATAAAATGAAACAGTAACCCTGCTTGAAGGCAAAACAAATTTGAAGAACAATTCAGCCAGAGGTAGAGTCTTGAAGTCTAACACCAGCTGTAAGAAATGAACACTATGCTGGAGAAGAGGTGAGAGATCAGGCTACCTTGTTTTTGAGTAACCTAGCATGTAGATATCTATTGTGCAGGAAGATGTATCAGGTACCTTGGAATTACAGAACTAATGTCTATGGTGCTGAATTTATGCTAAGAAATATTCTGATAATTTAATTTTCCCATTAAGAAAAAGTTTGCTGGTCAACCTGAAAAATATGGTCTATTTGGCCAGATTGACAATATTTCTCATTATAAATTAACAAATAAGTTTTCTGGTTATATACTTTAGTTACACAAATATATTGTGTAATTGTATGATATGATTACATTGAGAGGGTCTAAATATTTTATATACTTAAGAAATATTAGGTAAGTTGATTTTAAATAGGCATTACAGATGGCAACATAAGTAAATTAAAATATCACCTTATACAGTCAACTCATTTTTAACTTTTCTTTATTCATGCACTGGAAACATGCATTTTTATTTTTATTTCTCAAACTATTTTTTAAGATTAAATGAATTCATTTTTCTTTACCTGCAGAAAATTGCCCTGTCATTAAGAAAGAGGAAGAAGAGAACATTCATATTTATTGACAGCATTGTTTGGCCTCTTATATATATAAAATGTCATTTGTTTTGCACAATAACCCTGGGGAAAAAAGGTATTCTCCCTGTGTAATAAAAATAGGTTGAGGCATGTTTAGTAAAACATGCCCTAGGTCACACAGCTAGTAAATTGTGGGCTAAGATGACTCTTTTATTCTTTATGATTTTTTTATTGGCACATTGTAGCCTAAAATTCTAAAAGAACATATAATCTTGTGTGCTACTAAAAATTTTAATCTGCTCTACCCAAGGTTTAAGTAGTATTTGAATGAGCCAGATTGGGAGAGGCCGTGACTCAGTCAGAGTCAGACTGTCAGACTTGCAGTGTTGTTTGGAAAGATGGGTTTCTGAGATGGGCATTAGGCCAGGGACATCAGGCTTCAAGTAAATCTAAAATCTAGGAGATTATTCTTTGTAGGGTAGAGGAGACGCAAAGGACATAGGCTTAAAATAAGCATATTAACCTGTGCAGCTGCATTAATGAGTGCGGCTTCAAAAGAATCTCTTCAGTAACAGAGAAAATAATGACTATATTCATACATAGTAGGCCATTGACAGAAGACCCAGGAATAAGATCAGCCATATATTGTATCTGAAATATGGCTAAAGTGTAATTAAATATTTAATATTAAACTAAACTCATATAGAACTGGGAAATAAGACCATCAAATTCTCAGTTATTGTTATCTCTGAAAGTGGCTTTGTTTAGTTGATAATTTGACTAGGGTTAGAATTATAGGTCCAAATATATACATATATATATATACACACACACACGTATATATATATATATATATATATATATACCGTGTATATATATATATATATATATATACCGTGTATATATATATATATATATATATACACTTTTTTTCCAACTCAATATTTTGCTCAAGTGTTTAATTGCAAGTAGTATGCTGATGAAAAATCTGTTGTTAATCTTGTTCTTATTTTCCTGTAAGGAATCTTTCTTTTCTCTCTAGCAGTGTCAGAAATTTCCTTTTTATACTTAGTATTCTAAGATTTCACCATCTTGTACCTGTCTTTTTAATTTTGCATGGCTTTCACTGACCCATTATGTAGTTTCATGTCTTTATAAAGTTCTGGACAATTTTAGGCTATTACCTCCTGAAATATTTTTTCCCTACATTCTGTCTAAATCTATTGAAAAGAGTTACGAGTGGGTAGGTAATTTGGTGACTGGTCTCTTGGTATGACAGCATCTCATTCCTTTTGGTGTCACCAACTCTCTAATACACTGCCCTATTTCTCTGCAATAAGAACTGTATTCATCTTTCCTTTGTGGAGATAGATATTGCTATTTGTCTTATAGGAGGGAGAGGAGAGAGATACTCAGGGGCTGACCTGTCTGGGTTCTCCCTTTGTGGGGCTCCAACTAATCATCCTGCCAATGGCTTTTGGGTACCCCTCCTGCTCCTGGATTTCATTCCTTCCAGGCATGGAGCATTTATCTTGTTGGTCTCACCTCCTGGGTTAGAACTTTTCTGAAGGAATCATGGGCTGTGACCTCTTTCTTTTCTGCTCATATTTTTCAAAGACTAATTATTATTTCTGTCGTTTTCACCATAGATATTTTTATTTATTTAAAAAATAAATTTTCCTTAATTTTTATGAATTTAGTGTAAGAGGAGGGATTATATTAAATGCTCACCATTTTAAAATTAGAAGTCTGTCTTCTATCTTTCCTTCACTAATATGTGTGTTTTGTACTTAGTCATATGGTCAAATACTTGTACATAAAATTATCTGAAAAAGCAAATGAAAAATTAACTAGATTTCCCCGTCGTATTTGCATGTATTCCTTACAAACTTACCTCAGTCTTCATTTTTTCCTGCTCTGTCCATTTTCATCCAAAACATACACATATACATCATACAGTCAAGATAAGCATGCATATATCACAGGTATCTTTAACACAGTTTGAAGATGTAACCCTTCATTAAATGATGATGGAGAAAAAATAAAGGTAAACTTAGAGGGTATAGTTGAGAGACAGTATTAAAACAATTGACTTTTAACCTTATTGGTCTTGATTATGGAACGGAGATGGGTGAATCGTTCATTTAGATTTTTTTTTTTTTTTTTGAGACAGAGTTTCACTCTTGTTGCCCAGGCTGGAGTGCAATGGCACAATCTCAGCTCACTGCAACCTCCGCCTCCCTGGTTCAAGTGATTATCTTACCTCAGCCTCCTGAGTAGCTGGGATTACAGGCATGCACCACCACGCCCAACTAATTTTTGTATTTTTAGTAGGGACGGGGTTTCACCATGTTGGCCAGGATGGTCTCAATCTCTTGACCTCGTGATCCACCTGCCTTGGCCTCCCAAAGTTCTGGGATTACAGGTGTGAGTCACTGCACCTGGCCTCATTTAGAGTTTATGTTATTTATTTATAGCTTGATAATATTTTATCTTTTAATTTTTATTATTGTCTAAATATTCAGATTTAGAGGAAATATTATTTTCTTCAGGCAAAATAACAGTCCTGAGAGGCAAAGTTTTTTTGCTTCTTTTTTTTGAGATGCAGTTTCACTCTTGTCATCCAGGCTGGAGTGCAACGGTGCGATCTCGGCTCACTGCAACCTTTACCTCCTGGATTCAAGCGATTCTCCTACCTAGGCTCCCAAGTAGCTGGGACTACAGGCACACACCACCATGCCTGGCTAATGTTTTTTTTTTTTTTTTTTTTTTTAGTAGAGATGGGGTTCGAGACCATGTTGGCCAGGCTGGTCTCGAACTCCTGACCTCAGGTGATCCACCCGCCTCAGCCTCCCAAAGTGCTGGGATTACAGGCATGAGCCGCCACACCCAGCCTGCTTTTAAAAATATTATTTTTAAGTTATTAGTAGAATGGACTTATTGAAATATGTACTTTTTAACTGAAGGTACTTGGCATAGTAAGTTTAACTATGTTTAACTCTGTTGATTTGCTTTTACATTTTGTGCAATCATAAGTGTCCTTCAGTTCTTAAATATCCACAGCAAATCAAATATTAACTCTGTGCATGTTTTTGAGTTTTTATTAAGTAGTGTTTATATCATTGTACCTATTCTTATAGCTATTGCCTACATCCAAGTAGGCATTTTGTTTAGTTCTTTTTCTTTAGTCTCTCGAAATAATGAAAAGTGAAAATTTCTATAATTTGATTGACTGTTTTAAGTCTTTAAGTATATTACACTTTGGGCAAAATGCCTACTACTGATAAAGACAGCAAAGTTTTTACAGATGTATAATTAAAAACTGACAATGCAGTATAATGGAGAACACACAGAAAGTTCCCTTTGTAGTAGTAAAAATGTTGGTATGCATAGAGGTGGGAACTTCAATGTGCTAGTGTGGAGGGAGTGGTGTGGAAGTGGTATGCCATAAGTGTGGAAAGGTAGGTAGGAACCGGATCTTTCCTGGCCTTATAGGTTATAATAAGGATATTAGATCTTTTTCTCAAGCCAATAAGGAATTTTAAAATAACTTTAAAGAGGGGAATGGCATGATTAGTCTATAGTTTTAAAAAGTCACTCTGCCTTCATTATGGGAAATACATTGGGGGCAGAGGGTATACAAATGCACATAGGGAGGAGGATGTGCATTGAAACATATACATTTGTGGGCACAAAATAAATATTTTGGGATATTGGCAGATTGGCTAACTCTATTCTCTTCAGACTTCTTTTCAATATTTTCTGAAACGTCACCATGGACAAATAATAATTAATAATTAATAATTCATTAATTAATCATTAATACAGGAGGTTCCAAGATGGCCGAATAGGAACAGCTCCAGACTGCAGCTCCCAGAAGATGGGTTATTTCTGCATTTTCAACTGAGGTACCAGGTTCATCTCAATGGGGCTTGTCAGACAGCGGGTGCAGCCCAGGGTGCAGGGCGGGGCATCGCCTCACCCAGGAAGCGCAAGGGGTCAGGGAATTCCCCTTCCTAGCAAAGAGAAGCCATGACAGACAGTACCTGGAAAATCAGGACACTCCCACCCTAATACTGTGCTTTTCCAATGGCCTTGGCAAACAGCACACCAGGAGATTATATCCTGCACCTGGCTTGGAGGGTCCCTTGCTCACTGCTAGCACAGCAGTCTGAGATCAAACTGCAAGGCGGCAGCAAGGCTGGGGGAGGGGCGTCCGCCATTGCTGAAGCTTGAGTAGGTAAACAAAGCGGCCGGGAAGCTCGAACTGGGTGGAGCCTACCACAGCTCAAGGAGGCCTGCCTGCCTCTGTATACTCTACCTCTGCGGGCAGGGCATAGCTGAACAAAAGGCAGCAGAAACTTCTGCAGACTTAAATGTCCCTATCTGACAGTTTTGAAGAGAGTAGTGCTTCTCCCAGCATGGAGTTTGAGATCTGAGAATGGACAGACTGCCTCCTCAAATGGGTCCCCGACCTCCAAGTAGCCTAACTGGGAGACTCCTCCCAGTATGGGCTGACTGACACCTCATACAGCCAGGTATCCCTCTGAGATGAAGCTTCCAGAGGAAGGATCAGGCAGCAACATTTGCCATTCTGCAATATTTGCTGTTCTGCAGCCTCTGCTGGGATACCCAGGCAAACAGGGTCTGGAATGGACCTCCAGCAAATTCCAACAGACCTGCAGCTGAGGGTCCTGACTGTTAGAAGGAAAACTAACAAACAGAAAGGACATCCACACCAAAACCCCATCTGTAGGTCACCATGATCAAAGACCAAAGGTAGATAAAGCCACAAAGATGGGGAGAAACCAGAGCAGAAAAGCTGAAAATTCTAAAAATCAGAGCACCTCTTCTCCAAAGGAATGCAGCTCCTCACCAGCAATAGAATAAAACTGGATGGAGAATGACTTTGACGAGTTGAAAGAAGACGGCTTCAGACGATTGGTAATAACAAACTTCTCCAAGCTACAGGAGGATGTTCAAACCCATTGCAAAGAAGCTAAAAACCTTGAAAAAAGACTAGACAAATGGCTAACTAGAATAAACAGTGTAGAGAAGTCCTTAAAGGACCTGATGGAGCTGAAAACCATGGCACGAGAAGTATGTGACGCATGCACAAGCTTCAGTAGCCGATTCGATCAACTGGAAGAAGGGGTATCAGTGATTGAAGATCAAATGAATGAAATGCAGTGAGAAGAGAAGTTTAGAGAAAAAAGAGTAAAAAGAAATGAACAAAGCCTCCAAGAAATATGGGATTATGTGAAAAGACCAAATCTACGTCTGAATGGTGTACCTGAAAGTGACGGGGAGAATGGAACCAAGTTGGAAAACACTCTGCAGGACATTATCCAGGAGAATTTCCCCAACCTAGCAAGGCAAGCCAACATTCAAATTCAGGAAATACAGAGAATGTCACAGAGATACTCCTCAAGAAGAGCAACTCCAAGACACATAATTGTCAGATTCACCAAAATAGAAATGAAGGAAAAAATGTTAAGGGCAGGCAGAGAGAAAGATTGGGTTACCCACAAAGGGAAGCCCATCAGACTAACAGCGGATCTCTCAGCAGAATCTCTATAAGCCAGAAGAGAGTGGGGGCCAATATTCAACATTCTTAAAGAAAAGAATTTTCAGCCTAGAATTTCATATCCAGCCAAACTAAGCTTCGTAAGTGGAATGGCACAATCTCATGCGCCAAACAAATGCTGACAGATTTTGTCACCACCAGGCCTGCCTTGCAAGAGCTCCTGCAGGAAGCACTAAACATGGAAAGGAACAACTGGTACCAGTCACTGCAAAAACATGCCAAATTGTAAAGACCATTGAGGCTAGGAAGAAACTGCATCAACTAACAAGCAAAATAACCAGCTAACATCATGACAGGATCCAATTCACACATAACAATATTAACCTTAAATGTAAATGGGCTAAATGCTCCAATGAAAAGACACAGACTGGCAAATTGGATAAAGAGTCAAGACCCAACAGTGTGCTGTATTTAGGAGACCCGTCTCACATGCAGAGACACACATAGGCTCAAAATAAAGGGATGGACAAAGATCTACCAAGCAAATAGAAAACAGGGGTTGCAAAAAAGCAGGGGTTGCAATCCTAGTCTCTGATAAAACTGACTTTAAACCAACAAAGATCAAAAGAGACAAAGAAGGCCATTACGTATTGGTAAAGGGATCAATTCAACAAGAAGAGCTAACTATCCTAAATATATATGCACCCAATATAGGAGCACCCAGATTCACAAAGCAAGTCCTTAGAGAACTACAAAGAGACTTAGACTCCCACACAATAATAAAGGGAGACTTTAACACTCCACTGTCAACATTAGACAGATCGAGACAGAAAGTTAACAAGGATATCCAGGAATTGAACTCAGCTCTGCACCAAGCAGACCTAATAGACATCTACAGAATTCTCCACCTCAAATCAACAGAATATACATTCTTCTCAGCACCACATCCCACTTATTCCAAAACTGATCACATAGTTGGAAGTAAAGCACTCCTTAGCAAATGTAAAAGAACAGAAATTATAACAAACTGTCTCTCAGACCACAGTTCAATCAAACTAGAACTCAGGATTAACAAACTCACTCAAAACCGCTCAACTGCACGGAAACTGAACAACCTGCTCCTGAATGACTACTGGGTACATAACAAAATGAAGGCAGAAATAAAGATGTTCTTTGAAACCAGTGAGAACAAAGACACAACATACCAGAATCTCTGGGACACATTTAAAGCAGTGTGTAGAGGGAAATTTATAGCACTAAATGCCCATAAGAGAAAGCAGGAAAGATCCAAAATTGACACCCTAACATCACAGTTAAAAGAACTAGAAAAGCAAGAGCAAACATATTCAAAAGTTAGCAGAAGGCAAGAAATAACTAAGATCAGAGCAGAACTGAAGGAGCTAGAGACACAAAAAAACCCTTCAAAAAATCAATGAATCCAGGAGCTGGTTTTTTGAGAAGATCAACAAAATTGATAGACTGCTAGTAAGATTAATAAAGAAGAAAGGGGAGAAGAATCAAATAGATGCAATAAAAAATGAGAAAGAGGATATCACCACCAATCCCACAGAAATACAAACTACCATCAGAGAATACTATAAACACCTCTATGCAAATAAACTAGAAAATCTGGAAGAAATGTATAAGTTCCTGGACACATACGCCCTCCCAAGACTAAACCAGTAACAAGTTGAATCCCTGAATACACCAATAAAAGGCTCTGAAATTGAGGCAATAATTAATAGCTTACCAACCAAGAAAAATCCAGGACCACATGGATTCACAGCCAAATTCTACCAGAGGTACAAAGAGGAGATGGTACTATTCCTTCTGAAACTTTCCCAATCAATAGAAAAAGAGGGAATCCTCCCTAATTCATTTTATGAGGCCAACATCATCCTGATACCAAAGCCTGGCAGAGACACAACAAAAAAAGAGAATTTTAGACCAATATCCCTGATGAACATCGATGCAAAAATCCTCAATAAAATACTGGCAAACCCAATCCAGCAGCACATCAAAAAGCTTATCCACCATGATCAAGTGGGCTTCATCCCTGGGATGCAAGGCTGGTTCAACATAAGCAAATCAATAAATGTAATCCATCATATTAACAGAACCAAAGACAACAACCACATGATTATCTCAATAGATGCAGAAAAGGCCTTTGACAAAATTCAACAGCCCTTCATGCTAAAAACTCTCAATAAACTAGGTATTGATGACAAGTATCTCAAAATAATAAGAGCTATTTATGACAAATCCACAGCCACTATCATACTGAATGGGCAAAAACTGGAAGCATTCCCTTTGAAAATCAGCACAAGACAGGGATGCCTCCCTCACCACTCCTATTAAACATATCATTGGAAGTTCTGGCCAGGGCAATCAGGCAAGAGAAAGAAATAAAGAGTATTCAATTAGACAAAGAGGAAGTCAAATTGTCCCTGTTTGCAGATGACATGATCATATATTTAGAAAACCCCATCATCTCAGCCCAAAATCTCTTTAAGCGATAAGCAACTTCAGCAAATTCTCGGGTTACAAATTCAATGTGCAAAAATCACAAGGATTCCTATACACCAATAATAGACAAACAGAGAGGCAAGTCATGAGTGAACTCCCATTCACAATTGCTTCAAAGACAATAAAATACCAAGGAATCCAACTTACAAGGGATGTGAAGGACCTCTTCAAGGAGAACTACAAACCACTGTTCAACGAAATAAAAGAGGACACAAACAAATGGAAGAAAATTCCATGCTCATGGATAGGAAGAATCAATATTTTGAAAATGGCCATACTGCCCAAGGTAATTTATAGATTCAATGCCATCCCCATCAAGCTACCAATGACTTTCTTCACAGAATTGGAAAAACCTACTTTAAAGTTCATGTGGAACCAAAAAAGAGCCCACATTGCCAAGTCAGTCCTAAGCCAAAAGAACAAAGCTGGAGGCATCATACTACCTGACTTCAAACTATACTACAAGGCTACAGTAACCAAAACAGCATGGTACTGGTACCAAAACAGAGATATAGACCAATGGAACAGAATAGAGCCCCCGGAAATAATACCACACATCTAGAACCATCTGATCTTTGACAAACCTGACAAAAACAAGAAATGGGGAAAGGATTCCCTATTTAATAAATGGTGCTGGGAAAACTGGCTAGCCATATGTAGAAAGCTGAAACTGGATCCCTTCCTTATACTTTATACAAAAATTAATTCAAGATGGATTAAAGACTTAAATGTTAGACCTAAAACCATAAAAACCCTAGAAGAAAACCTAGGCAATACCATTCAGGGCATAGGCATGGGCAATGACTTCATGATTAAAGCACCAAAAGCAAGGGCAACAAAAGCCAAAATTGACAAATGGGATCTAATTAAACTAAAGGGCTTCTGCACAGCAAAAGAAACTACCATCAGAGTGAACAGGCAACCTACAGAATGGGAGGAAATTTTTGCAATCTACCCATCTGACAAAGGGCTAATATCCAGAATCTACAAAGAACTTAAACAAATTTACAAGAAAAAAAACAAACAACTCCATCAAAAAATGGGCAAAGGATATGAACAGACAATTCTCAAAAGAAGACATTTATGCAGCCAACAGACACATGAAAAAGTGCTCATCGTCACTGGCCATCAGAGAAATGGAAATCAAAACCACAATGAGATACCATCTCACACCAGTTAGAACAGCGATCATTAAAAAGTCAAGAAACAACAGGTGCTGGAGAGGATGTGGAGAAATAGGAATGCTTTTACACTATTGGTGGGAGTGTAAACTAGTTCAGTCATTGTGGAAGACAGTGTGGTGATTCCTCAGGGATCTAGAACTAGAAATACCATTTGATCCAGCCATCCCATTACTGGGCATATACGTAAAGGAATATAAATCATGCTGCTATAAGGACACATGCACAAGTTTGTTTATTATGGCACTATTCACAATAGCAAAGACTTGGAACCAACCCAAATGTCCATCAATGATAGACTGGATTAAGAAAATGTGGCACATATACACCATGGAATACTATGCAGCCATAAATAAGGATGAGTTCATGTCCTTTGTAGGTACATGGATGAAGCTGGAAACCATCATTCTGAGCAAACTATCGCAAGGAGAGAAAACCAAACACCGCATGTTCTCACTCATAGGTGGGAATTGAACAATGAGAACAGCTGGACACAGGGCGGGGAGCATCACACATTGGGGCCTGTCATGGGGTTGGGGAAGCAGGGAGGGATAGCATTAGGAGAGATACCTAATGTAAACGATGAATTAACAGGTGCAGCACACCAACATGGCACTTGTATACATATGTAACAACCTGCCCGTTGTGCAAATGTACCCTAGAAGTTAAAGTATAAAAAAAAAAAAAAGAACAAGAACTCCAATAACAGGCCTTGAAAAACTAAGCGTGAAATCCAGGTTGTGGAACGTTTGACCCCAGGAAGAATGTATTTCATCTGTGTGTAGTTCATCTGTATTCTTGTGGTAATCAAGCAGACACCAGCTAGACCACTAGTTGGCCCACTGCTCAAGACAGTCGTCAAGACCAGACATACTACCGCACACGTAGTCAACTCCTGTGCTTCCCATAAAAACCGTCTAGCTAGCCTGAGAAACTTGAGATGATCTTTGTGACATGAGTCCACCATCTCCTCTGGTTGTCAACTCCTGAATAAACCCATTTTTCTCCCTCAAAAAACATTAATAATTATTAATAATAAATTAACAATAAATCATTAACAATAATTAATAATTAATAATAATTAATAATAAAAATTAATAAAAATAAAATAAAATAAAAGTATTAAAAACTCTAATAAAATATAATACAATATAATATATAATACAATACAACATAATATGTGTTATGGCTAAGGAAATTTCAGATTAGGAAGGACACCTAATTTAGACTAAAAGAGAACAGCTTCCTAGAGAAGGTGAAAGATGAGTTAAGTGCTGATAGCTGGATAGTTCAGTCAGACCAAGAAAGAATGGCTTTTCTGAATCAAAGAAGAACATTTATGTGGATATCCTGATAAAACGGAAAACAGATCAGAGTACAAAGTATACCATTACCAGGGATGTGGCTGAAGAGATAGGCCGACAAGATATTAGATATTATGCTAAAAATCCAGGATTTATCCTGAAATGGTGAATGGTAATTGAAAGATTTTTAGCAAGACAGTGACATGATGAAACTGGTATTTCAAAATGAACATGCTAGCAAGAGGTGGGATAATGTACTGGATGAGAATAAGACGGGAAGCAGAGAGGCCCATTAGGAATTTGATTCATTTATTCACTAATGGTGATACCAAATGCTTAGTATGTAACAACTATTGAGCCAGGTGTTAGGGACACAGTGGTCAACAAAAAAGAGGGCCACTGCTTTCCTTCAAAGGTTTAAAATCTAGCACATCAATAAAATAATACAGGGAGGTAATCCAGCGCTTGACCATTCTCTCCCTTTAAAAATTATGTGTGTTACTTTATTATAATTTAAAAATACAGATGAATAAGAAGAATGTGAACAAAATCAGACATCCACTCAACCTCTATGGAATGTTAACATTTTATTGTGTGTACATACTTCTAGATGTTTAAAAATATAGTATGTGTATATATTGTATATCATACAATTATATGAATAAATCAGACTGTTCTCAATTGGTTTATGATCTAGTTTCCTCTTAACAACACATGGTGATCTTTCCATAACCATAAATCTATTTATCCATATTATTTTTTATGAGGGGATGATGTTCTACTGCATTTTCGGACATTTTAGGTAGGACTATTCAAAACAATGTTAGAATGAATATTCTTATAGGCAAGTTTTAAATTTCATTTCATTAGATTAAATTCTTAGAAGTGGAATAAAAGAAAATGCACATTTTAAAGGCCTTTGATAATGCCCCAAACCCTCCTTTATAATCTTTTCTTCTGGCTTCCATACCATACTTTGTTAGGTTTTTTTTTTTTTTTTAACTACATCAGCAACTCATACACAGTCTTCTTCATTAGTTCATTGCTGCACATTGAAATCATCTGGGGATTTTTAAAAATTACTGATGCCTGGCTCCCACCCTTAGACATACCAATTTCATTGGTATGTGGTACAATCTGGGAATTGGAATTTTTAGAAGTGCCTCAAGTGATTCTTACTTGCAGCAAAAGATAGAAACCACTGTATTCTTTTATTTTCCCTGTTTACTACAGAAATTTAAGTTCCATCCTAGATCTGCATCTTACCTTTTTTCACATGCTCTTCATATGTAATCATAATTTCACCTCTTCCACTCTAAACTCTATGAATATAATTAAAAACTCGTATCTTGCACTTTTCCTGAGGTCCAGTTCCACTTTGTTCATTGCCTATAGGAAAGTGTGCACTAATGCTAAATATAGAATTAGCTCTCAAACTTGGTGTATCTCAAACTGAATTAAGAGGTCTCCCTTACTCTTGATAAACAGAAAACTAAACACATGTTTAAAAAAACAGCAACACCTGTGGGGAAAGATATTTTCTACCTTTCAGTTGGTTGCAAAGCTCTTGTCTTGATTCTTTCTCTAAAACATATTTTAAATCAGTTTCCCCTACCCTTTCTATTACCATTACCACAACCTCTACCCTCAGAGTAGTACCACTGTGACAATACTTATCTGAATATCTGTCTTGGGAGCACTGGCCTGTCAGAGTAGTTTGCCTGCAATCTCACTTGCATGAAGATAGCACCTAGTGAATACCAGTAGATATGACATTAGGGACTGAAATCAAGGTGGAATTAAAAATTTCAACACATGTAAGTAAGAGTGTGTGTGTGTGGGAGGAAGTGGGATAATGTAGGAGAAGGGACAGTGATCATTTCCAACTACTTGAAGATGGCCACTCTTGGGCCAGGAACTCAGCCCAGGGTTGGAGAATGTTGAGATACATCGGGCTCATCCCGATTGATTTCAGGCTGCAAAGGTCACTTTGAGAATTAATTGACCCAATAATGGAGGAACAACTATAACGTTCCAGGAGAAAGAAGGCTAAAAAGCAAAACTATTTTATTTGTGTTATAAATATCTGAATTTTTAAAAAATTTGAACTCCTTACCCAGGCAAGTCTGCCATAATTTCAACCAAGGAATACTGACAAATCTAGAAATTGAGAGATTTATAAGCTACTGAATCTAAAATATGGAAGCAGCTAAGCTGACATGACTGGGGAAAGTGAGGATCCTTTAATCTCTGACTGTGAGGGTGACTGTCCTTGACATGCTGTGAAGAGTAGCTATAAACCATCACTTCTTGTTTCTCAGATCTCAAACTATTGATCCACTCAGCTAAAATAAAAGCTCCATTGAGCAGAGGCCTTGATTGTACAATTAATTATTCTCCAGCAGCTCTGAGAGTGTGAGATATATGGTAGCCATACAAAAAATATTGAGTTAATAATTTCTCATACTGGGGCCAAAACCCCTGTGACCATAGTAGCAATGTAGTAGGGTGTTCAAGTGTGTTACTTCTTTAGAATTTTAGAAATGTAATTTAAGAATTTTTTTTTTTTTTTTTTTTGAGACTGAATCTCACTTTGTTTCCCAGGCTGGAGTGCGGTGGCTCGATTCTGGCTCACTGCAACCTCCGTCTCCTGGGTTCAAGTGATTTGCCTGCCTCAGCCTCCCGAGTAGTTGGGATTACAGGCGTGCGCCACCATGCCCAGCTAATTTTGTATATTTAGTAGAGATGGGGTTTCACATGTTAGCCAGGCTGATCTCTAACTGCTGACCTCTGGTGATCTGCCCGCCTCAGTCTCCCAAAGTGCTGGGATTAACAGGCGTGAGCCACCACTCCTGGCCTAAGATCATTTTAATAAGATTTAAGAGACACTAATTTCTGTCTTTCAAGAGAGGTACTAATTTCCATCTAAGCAGGCCCACCAGAAAGTAGATATGGAAAAACAGGACAAGCATATAATATTTGTAAAGCAAAGCATTTTATTTCTAGAGGAAGATTTGAAATCCATGGAAGTTAGGAGATAACACAGTTGTTTTAGTTATTTGTCACACTTTAAAGTCATTGTAGCAGTTAGGAAATAGTGAGATCTTGGCAAACAAAATGTGGACATCTAGGAGAAGCCAAAGAGTTGGCAACACTTTTTAAGCATCTCTGGCAGCTCCTGTCTAGTTGGACTAAAGGAATACCATATCCTATTATAAATCACATTTCCCTGGAACTCAGCTTAAAGGGCAAACTTTAGAAGGAAAACCTCCATCATCCTCATTCAATACTTCAGCTACTGTTTCTTATCCGCATCTAAACAAAGGCCATTAAATAGAGTTTCAGGGAAAGGCAGAGCTGCCAGGAATGATGCAGAGATGGCCTTTTTCTTTAGTAAACCAGAAGCTTAAATGGGCATGACTCCATAAGATTTTTTGTTTTAGTAATTAGCAAATAGAGTTTCAAATTCAAATTGACTTGAAGCAAGCAGAAGTTTTAAATTAATTAAATTTTCCAGGAAAGGGAAGCCTAGCCCTAGGAACAGAGATTACTCAACTTGTAATGCATTCCTCAGGCCTAAGTATCCACACCTATAAAGAATGACTTGGACTTGCAAAGGTAATAGAGCTACTTAAGAAGAATCTCTCCAACATCCCTCTGAGAAGCAGCCCAGAAAGATACAAGGCAAGGGAAATCTTTCCAGGGAGAAGAACTCAAGGTGCTGAATGGCTTTTAAAGGACATTTCTGAGCCGGGTGTGTTGGCTCATGCCTGTAATCCTAGCACTTTGAGAGGTCAAAGCGGGTGGATAGCTTGAGTCCAGTGGTTTGAGACCAGACTGGTGAGCATGGGGAAATCCCACCTCTACAAAAAATACAAAAATTAGCTGGGTGTAGTGGCACACACCTGTAGTCCTAGCTACTTGGGGGCTGAGGCTGGAGGATCGCTTGATTCTAGGAGGTTGAGGGTGCAGTGACCTGAGGTTGTGCCACTGCACTTCAGCCTTGGCAGTAGAGTGAGACCTTGTCTCAACAAAACAAAACAAAACAAAACAAACAAAACAAAACAAAACAAAACAGCAAAGACACTTTCTCTATTTCCAAGGGAGCAAGTCAAGAACATTTTATACTGCCTGCTCCTAACAAGTGATTATTCTCAAGCCCCTTTCTTTCCCCTAAATGAGATAATTTTATTAAGGTAATTCTGTCTGTGGTGCACCTTTATTTGCCCCTCTGAATCCTTCTCCACGCTCCACCTTCCTCTACCTGCAATGCTATCCTGGGAGGCTGACCTGCATGAAAAACCTTAAAGGATTCTTACCTCCTCTGGCTTCCAGTTGGGTTCAGCCAATGGCACAGCAGTAGATAAGAAGGAGGTGGGGCGGGCGCGGTGGCTCAAGCCTGTAATCCCAGCACTTTGGGAGGCCAAGGCGGGCGGATCACGAGGTCAGGAGATCGAGACCATCCTGGCTAACATGGTGAAACCCCGTCTCTACTAAAAATACAAAAAAAAAATTAGCCGGGCGTGGTGGCGGGCGCCTGTAGTCCCAGCTACTAGGGAGGCTGAGGCACTAGAATGGAGTGAACCCGGGAGGCAGAGCTTGCAGTGAGCCGAGATCGCGCCACTGCACTCCAGCCTGGGCGACAGAGCGAGACTCTATCTCCAAAAAAAAAAAAAAAAAAAAAAAAAGAAGGAGGTGGGAGGCTAGGAGCTAGGATAAGGGTACTTATCTTAAGCCTCCGTTCCTGTGTCCCTCAGCTGAAGGTCACTGCTCATTTCAGGCCAAATGGCTTCATGGGACTCTCCCTCCTTTAGTAACCGCTGGCCGAGGGGCAATAGCTCAGCTACTACAAAACCCCGAGCTCTTGAATTATAAATCAGAATTACCCTACGTCCACACTTAATTTCCTTCTTGAAATCTACTCTCTACATAGACAAGTGAATTTTCCCCTCCCTGACCAAATCAGGCCTCCAAATATAAGCTTTTGTAGCTTGCTTAAATTCTTGATTAATTTTTACTATTAAATGATTAGTTTGAATTCTCCCTTCCTCTCACAGAATGTAAGTTTCACGAGAGCAGAAAGTGCATTAGTGTTGTTCTCAGCTGTTTGCTCAAGGTTTAAATAAAAACTTAAACATAGAAACAAAAATTTTTCTTTTTAGTTGTGCTTTCTATTTTTTCTTGGGACCCTGATAGACAGAACAGTGAAATTCATCATCTAACTGAAGATTGCAGTATTTTGGAACTTGGCATTAAAAGCCTGACTCAATTACACTGAAGGAGATTGTACATCTCACAGAAAGCTTGGACTTGAGCACTGACCTCCAGACACTACCTGAGAAGGTCTAGTAGACATGATTTTCCATTGGAGAGGTGGTGGTGTTTTTGATGGCATGTAGATTGTGACTGGCAGGGGCATTTTTGGAATGTAAGCATGTCTTTGAGTATGTGCTAGGTAAAATTGAAGAGTAGATTGTAGTGAGCCTCCACTGTGGTTCTGCTTTATGCCAATAATTTTTCTTTTAATTTTCTATTCATAAAATAATCTGCATTAGGACTTTTGCCAATTCAGCAGAATTATGTCATTAATACAAAGGATTATAATAGAACATAAATTGGCTGGCCCATGCATGAAATCCAAAATAATATGAGTATTCACAATTTTGACAAAGCATTCACCTTAAGAAGAGGCAAACAAGCAGGGAACTAATACAGATACAGTTAGGTTTGGTAGAACACTGATACTTGTGATATTTATGACATAATCATGGTTCTTTTTGTCATAATATGGTATTTTATATAGCTATTTACTTAAGTGACTATATGCATATGAACTACTAACATTTTTCACATTTTCTCTGCCCATATTTGGGCTGCTCAATAACAGATAGAAATGTTATAGTTAAAAAGAAAATTATTGGCCAGGTGCGGTGGCTCATGCCTGTAATCCCAGCACTTTGGGAGGCCGAGGCGGGCGGATCACGAGGTCAGGAGATTGAGACCATCCTGGCTAACACTGTGAAGCCCCGTCTTACTAAAAATCCAAAAAATTAGCCAGGCGTGGAAGGACATGCCTGTAATCCCAGCTACTTGGGAAGCTGAGGCAGGAGAATCGCTTGAACCTGGGAGGCGGAGGTTGCAGTGAGCCAAGATCGCACCACTGCACTCCAGCCTGGATGACAGAGTGAGACTCCGTCTCAAATTAAAAAAAAAAAGAAAAAAGAAAATTATTATCTGGCTGGGTGTAGTGGCTCAACCTGTAATCCCAGAACTTTGGGGGCTGAAGGGGTGGATCACCTGAGGTCGGGAGTTTGAGACAAGCCTGACCAACATGGTGAAACCCCGTCTCTACTAAAAATACAAAAAAATTACTGGGCGTGGTGGCAGGTGCCTGTAATCCCATCTATTCGGGCAGCTGAGGCAGGAGAATCACTTGAACCTGGGAGGCAGGGGTTACCATAAGCTGAGATTGCGCCATTGCACTCCAGCCTGGGTGACAAGAGCGAAACTCCATCTCAACAACAACAAAAAAAAAAAAAAAAAGAAAGAAGAAAAAAAGAAAATTGTTACCTATTCTCCTTAGATAACCCTAATCTTAATCTAGTAATACTGTATCCTTTTTGAGAAGATTTCAGCTGTATCCTTTTTGAGAAGATTCAGCTAAAGGTTAATTCAGCTAAAGGTTAACTTCAGCTAAAGGTTAATTGGTTAACGTGACATATTACGCTTAAAAATCCCTAAATGAGTCGTTTTAAAAACCTGTCTTTCCCTCTAATAGCCAGAGTTTCTTTGTGCTATTGTGTTACTTTCTGATTCATCCGAGTGATGCTTGAGAATGCCAGGAAAACAATAAAAACATTTCTTGCCACTGAGCCCTACCTTTGCCTGGAACTCAGTGAACATCCTCCATGAGGTGGCAAAATTGTTCTGGTATTAGTTTGTAGTAAAATTTCCTGAATTAGGAGTGGAAAGGAAGACAATATTATGTAAAACTTTCCGTGGGTTCACAAAAATGAAGTGTTATCTTGTGTTCAGATCCCAGACTTAGAGAAAATGATTGTGTTTTCTTTTTCTTTTCTTTTTTTTTTTTTTGAGACAGAGTTTTGTTCTTGTTGCCCAGGCTGGAGTGCAATGGCGCAATCTCGGCTCACCGCAACTTCCGCCTCCCAGGTTTAAGCGATTCTCCTGCCTCAGCCCCCTGAGTAGCTGGGATTACAGGTGTGAGCCACCATGCCCGGTTAATTTTGTATTTTTAGTAGAGACGGGGTTTCTCTACGTTGGTCAGGCTGGTCTCGAACTCCCAACCTCGGGTGATCCGCCCGCCTCGGCCTCCCAAAGTGCTGGGATTACAGGCATAAGCCACCATGCCCTGCCAATAAAATGATTTTGAACATATAGTTCTATATTATTTATAGTGAACATTTAATGGAGGGGAAGTTCTGCCTTCAGGAAGACTATGAATATTGGGACTGTGTCCTTAGTAGACTTGGCACTAAAAAAAATCACTCATTTGACATCACAAGATTGCACAATAAATATTGGAGATGTTGGAAAGGTACAGGTACACAATGGAATACTACACATTCGAAATGAAGCTGTAGAATTGAATTTATTGACAAAGATGTTTATAATATATCATCATTAAGTGCACAAAAAGGGTAAACTATATGCTGAAGGATAGTTTGGGCAGCAAGCAAAAGAACATCTAATTCAAAATGAATTAAATAAATATATTTATTTTTATAATTATCATAATTACATTTATTAATCTAATTGTTCTAGTGCAGAGGTAAAATAGGCTTCAGGGTAGACTGATTCAGTGACCCAACAATATTATTAAAAAACAATGTTCTTTCTGTCTCTCTGCTCTGTAATCCAAAATATCTGCTTTATCTCACAGCTAGTTCCCCCAAATAATTGTAAGATAGATTCCAGGTGCAATTGGATATTACTACTTGCTTTCTCATTCATATGCTGAAGAAAGAGAGAATGGCTTGTTATTGCTTTCTGCAAAGACCAAAGAGGAAATTTTTGAAGTCTGTAGCCACTATCTCTTCATTTATCATTGGCTAGAACTGCTGATTTCTAAACTGATAGCTGGCGGAAAGAATGTGATTATCTTTAGACCAGTCAGACTCACACATTGAGTTAAAGGCAATTTCTAAAATCAGAGTACTGCCATTTCATGGATAGTAGAATGGAATGCATTTGGGGATTTGGACACAGTTAAAAAAATCTCTATCTAATCTCTCTCTATGGATATTCTAGAAAATTAATATTGTCATATGATAGTATCTGGACAATGACTTACATTTCTTTTTAATTTTCTTCCTTTCACTCACATGTATATAATATTCTTCTGTAAATAAGCATACATTGTTTTTTGTCTCTTTAACATTTTATATGGAAAATTTCAAATAAATCCAAAAATAAAGATAGTAATAAAATGAAACCTCAAGTATCCATCACCCAGATTCAACAATTATCAACTTCTGGAAAACCTTGTTTTATGCACTGTTTGTAATAAGAAAAAAAAAAGTTGATTTTAGTTAAAAAAGAAGTTAAGATCTGCTTAACATTTTCTCTTGTCCATAGAATATACCTTAAAGCAAATCAGTAAAGTTTAGCTAAGGATAGCCCAATATTTTTCCTGTCAATTGCCCAAGATCTCTCTTAAATTATACCCCAAGTATTTTTTTGAAAATTTGGTTTTTCTCAGTTTCTTATCCTACATATGCATCTCAAAAATTTGGACCGCAGTACCCCAACATCAGGAGAAAAGCACAAAACTCTAGGAGCTTGTGTATATGAAACAAAGTGGCTCACTAAAAGCATAGTTATTTTGAAATCTCATTTTTAGTTTTAAAGTCTGTATTTTTTTTTTTTTACTCTATCTACCAATGTTTAATAGAAATAAAATATTTCAAATTACTCACCATTGAATAAACTTGACACTGTTGGAAGATGGTCCATGTTGGTCTTTTGGCTTCTTGTCCTCTGAGGCACCCTGACAAATACCCCTGTGAACACAAGGTCCCCAATTTAAGAGTCATAGATTATAGTTTTCTTCCCTTTTAAGACTCCCCTTTTGATCGTTGACCATATTTCCTTGACTTTTAAACTTCATTCTCTTTGAGGACTTTGCTTTGAATTCAGTCCTCTTGTTTTTTCCATTTTAGACCTCCTCAGCTCGTATGCCCTATCTTAGGATTAATACTCACTTTCCAGTCCTGGCCAGGCCTGGCCCAGTACTCTGCAAGAGGATCTTGGACCTGTAAGTCACAAATATCAAGGTACTCATTCATTTACTAAATCTTTATTGAGTATCAACCATGTTTCTGGCACTTAGCTAGTCCTTGGGGATACTGTGGTTAAAAAGGATAAAATCTCAGTGTTTAAGAAGACTAAAGACATCAGGAACACAAAAAATATTTAGGCAATTATAAAATGGGCAAATAAGTGCTACATTGGATGAAGTACTGCATCCTATAAAGCACAAAGCAGTATCCTAAGCAGATGAGGGAAGTCTTCCAGGAATGAGATGCAGTATAACAATAGGAAGGAAAAGTAAGTGGTGGTAATTTTCTATATTTGAATGAAAACTTACTCTTGCTCAACCACGAAGGATGTTTTCTTAGAAATAAAGGGATTGTCAAAAGCAGCATTCAGTATGGGAGCTTACAGTGATGTATCTAGAGGGGACAAGCATGAAGAGTTTGATTACTCGGGAGTGCAGTTTAGAAAATAACTATGTTTCCTTCACAGAAAGGAAGTGTTCTGCCAGGCGGAGTCATTGCTTCCTTTTCTCTCTTCCCTTAGTCCTTTGTTTTCTTTTTTCTTTTGTTTTCTTTTCTATTTTTTCTATTTTTTTTTTTTTTTTGAGATGGAGTCTCACTCTGTAACTCAGGCTGGAGTGCAATGGTGCAATCTCTGCTCACTGCAACCTCTGCCTCCCAGGCTATTCTCCTGCCTCAGCCTCCTAAGTAGCTGAGATTACAGGCACATGCCACCACACCAAGCTAATTTTTGTATTATTAATAGAGACAGGGGTTTTACCATGTTGGCCAGGCTGGTCTCGAACTCCTGACCTCAGGTGATTCGCCTGCCTGGGCCTCCCAAAGTGCTGAGATTACAGGTGTGAGCCACCACGCCTGGGCCAGCCCTTTGCTGTCATATCACATGTGGAACATCCCTACCTGCCTCTCCTATGCCTTCCTACCTGAAGAAATAAATTAATCATTTTCCCTTCTAATCTACAAACTGTGTATTATACTGAAACACAATGATACTTTAAAAAATTTAAGAATTAAATTGATTCAAATTTTATTTTATTTTTAGATTCAACTGATTATTTTGATTACTTAATCATTAAAAAATGATACTGTTCAGTATTCAGAAAGTTTGGGTTCATTTTTTTCTTTCTTGTTTCTCAATAAAAGAAATGGGTAGTGGTAGTGATGTTGGCATTTGTTCTGAAAGATAAATGTGACATGATACTCATTTCCTGCCTGGCGCGGTGGCTCACGCCTATAATTGCAGCACTTTGGGAGGCTGAGGCAGGTGGATCGCTTGAGCCCAGGAATTCGAGATCAGCCTGGGCAACATAGCAAGACCGCATCCCTAAAAAAGGAGTACAAAAAAAAATTAGCCAGTCTCATAACTTGGCCTGAAAATAAATAAATAAATAAATAAATAGACTCATTTCCCATTGAGTAATCCAGAAAGAGACACACCCTGAATGGTATTGCCTAGGTTTTCTTCTAGGGTTTTTATGGTTTTAGGTCTAACATTTAAGTCTTTAATCCATCTTGAATTAATTTTTGTATAAAGTATAAGGAAGGGATCCAGTTTCAGCTTTCTACATTTGGCTAGCCAGTTTTCCCAGCACCATTTATTAAATAGGGAATCCTTTCCCCATTTCTTGTTTTTGTCAGGTTTGTCAAAGATCAGATGGTTGTAGATGTGTGGTATTATTTCTGAGGGCTCTGCTCTGTTCCACTGGTTATAGGAATTGGCAAGGACTTCATGACTAAAACACCAAAAGCAATGGCAACAAAAGCCAAAATTGACAAATGGGATCTAATTAAACTGAAGGGCTTCTGCACAGCAAAAGAAACTACCATCAGAGTGAACAGGCAACCTACAGAATGGGAGGAAATTTTTGCAATCTACCCATCTGACAAAGGGCTAATATCCAGAATCTACAAAGAACTTAAACAAATTTACAAGAAAAAAATCAAACAACTCCATCAAAAAATGGGCAAAGGATATGAACAGACAATTCTCAAAAGAACACATTTATGCAGCCAACAGACACATGAAAAAGTGCTCATCATCACTGGCCATCAGAGAAATGCAAATCAAAACCACAATGCGATACCATCTCACACCAGTTAGAATGGCAATCATTAAAAAGTCAGGAAACAACAGGTGCTGGAGAGGATGTGGAGAAATAGGAATGCTTTTACACTATTGGTGGGAGTGTAAACTAGTTCAGTCATTGTGGAAGACAGTGTGGTGATTCCTCAGGGATCTAGAACTAGAAATACCATTTGACCCAGCCATCCCATTACTGGGCATATACGTAAAGGAGTATAAATCATGCTGCTATAAGGACACATGCACATGTATGTTTATTGTGGCACTATTCACAATAGCAAAGACTTGGAACCAACCCAAATGTCCATCAGTGATAGACTGGATTAAGAAAATGTGGCACATATACACCATGGAATACTATGCAGCCATAAAAAAGGATGAGTTTATGTCCTTTGTAGGGACATGGATGAAGCTGGAAACCATCATTCTGAGCAAACTATCACAAGGACAGAAAACCAAACACCGCATGTTCTCACTCATAGGTGGGAATTGAGTAATGAGAACACATGGACCCAGGGTGGGGAACATCACACACCAGGGCCTGTCATGGGGTAGAGGGAGGGAGGAGGGATAGCATTAGGAGATCTACCTAATGTAAATGACGAGTTAATGGGTGCAGCACACCAACATGGCACGTGTACACATATGTAACAAACCTGCATGTTGTGTGCATGTACCCTAGTACTTAAAGTATAATAAAAAAATAAAAATAAATAAAAAAAAGAAAGAGACACACCCAACCATTATTGAAGTCCTCTAAGGTGGGGATAGAGGACACACAGTTCATCAGGGCTGAGGAATAGAGAATGGGAAAACAGATGAAGAAAGGCCTGTGCTGACCTTTTCCATGCCCTCCCATGGATGTGTTTTTCCTGCACGTCAAGTTATTTAAGCAAAGGATTGTTTTTGTCTGGATTTTTTTCTTTTCCAACTTCAGCCATTTCTTTTGTTCTTTTTAGGCATGAAACATTAAATAAAGTTATTCTTAATATGGGATATTCTCCCCTAAGTCTTTTTAGATGATAAGGAAACAGCATGTCCATTCCAATAGCCTGTTCAAGAGTTCTACTTTTAATAATTTGTGTCTCATACTTCCAGATAGTCCACACATAGGGCAGGTCTTATTATTTCTTGTGTATTTCATTATAACCTTATTAGGCCCAAACAAAATAAGAGTCACGAATAGGCAGGAAAACATATGACTGTAGTAAGCTAGGTGTTGAACAGGAAACTGTGGCTTCCAGAGATTAAAATAGTTTTGTTTGTGATCTTAGAGGAAACCCAAAAGGTGTTCACTTAGGTCTGGTTTTAAACAGGCAGAACAACTTATTTTAAAGTAATATTTCTGGTAATTCTGCAGCTACTTTGTAGTGCCTCTGCTGTTCTAGGCATTGTGCTAGATGGTATGAGGAATTAAAGATGAATAAGAACAAAGTTTCCTTCTTAGGAGGGAATACAATCTAAGTTAGCTTTTCTCTTTATTTATTTATTTATTTTTCTGAGATGGAGTCTCACTCTTTCGCCCAGGCCGGACTGCAGTGGCACTATCTCAGCTCACTGCAAGCTCCGCCTCCTGGGTTCATGCCATTCTCCTGCCTCAGCCTCCCCAGTAGCTGGGACTACAGGTGCCCGCCACTGCACCCGGCTAATTTTTTTGTATTTTTAGTAGAGACGGGGTTTCACCGTGTTAGCCAGGATGGTCTCGATCTGCTGACGTCGTGATCCACCCACCTCGGCCTCCCAAAGCGCTGGGATTACAGGTGTGAGCCACCGCGCCCAGCCTGCTTTTCTTTATTGTAACCAAAATCATTTGATGACTTCCAAACAGGGCAACATATGTGTCAAATATGGTCATATTTAAATAACTATGCCAAGGTTCTGCAGTTCAATTAACTTCATTTAATTTGGACACTTCTAGTATTAGAAAAATATCTTTTTTTGCTATCATCCATTAAATCATCAATATTTTTAAAGATTCACTTCCATCTCTCTTTTTAAGAATGAGGTGTTACATAAAACTATAGGTAAATGAATTTGAAAAAGAAAGCAAGTAAGGCTGAGTGCAGTGGCTTAATGCTGTAATCTTAGCTCTTTGGGAGGCCGAGGCAGGTGGATCACTTGAGGTCAGGAGTTCGAGACCAGCCTGGCCAACATGGTGAAAATCCAACTCTACTAAAAATACAAAAAATTGGGTGTGTTGGCATGCACCAGTAATCCCAATTACTTGGGAGGCTGAGGCAGGAGAATTGCTTGAACTCAGGAGGTGGAGGTTACAGTAAGCTGAGATCGTGCCACTGTACTGCGCCACTGCACTCCAGCCTGGGTGACAGAGCAAGACTCTGCACCCCCACCCCCCCAAAAAAAGCAAACAAGCAAGTGCAAGTAAGACTTTGTATCTCTGATTAGATGTTGAACAGTGAATGTCTCTTCCCAGACAATTTAGATAATTTACATACATTCTTTCTCTGGTTAGCCTTACAGATTAAAAAATGGTGGCTTTTTAAGTTTTAAGTTGAGTGACTTATCAAAAATACTTTAAGACTTGAAGACCACCAGTCTAGAAGTTAGAGATGAAATATTAGAATATGGCAGTAAACAGTCCAGCCTATGAACTAGAACTAGATTGACTGGGTTCAAATCTCAGCTTAGCCACCTACTAGTATGAGACTTGGGTTAAGTTAAAAAAGCCCTTGTATCTCAGTTCTCTTATTTTTAAAATGCTGATAACAATAATGTTTGTAAGATGTTGTGGGCATTAAATCAATAAATATATGTGAAGTGCTTGAAAAAAGGTATGGCATAGGCAAACACTCCATAGAGTGTCACCTATTATCATTTTTATGTGAGTGTGGGACCTGCTATCCAATGACATCAGTAGTCTCCCACTGTGACATAAAAGGATTGCATACAAAGAAATGCTTAATAAATAATTCATTCGTTCAAACAAGTATTTTTGAGAGCCTGAATTCTAGATTCTGGGGATAGAGCCAAGGAGGACAAGCTGAAGTTCTCAGTTTTAAGGGACTTTCATCTGAATGAAGTAAACTGACAATAAACAAGAGGAACAAATATACATAAACATATTAAGCATTACTACCTACTTTGAAGAAAAAGAAAGCAGGCTAAAGGGATAGAGACTAATAAGGAATAATAATGGGCAAGCTGTTATAGATGGGGAGATTTACACTCTTTTGAGGAGATGATATTTGAGCAGAGATATGAATGAAATGAGAGTGAATGCTGGGAAAATCAACAGGAAATGAATTCTAGAAAGTGGGAACAGCAGAATAAAGGCCAGGAGGCAGAACTGAATTCAGGGGTTCAAGAGTAAACAGAAGGCCCATCGTGGCGTGAAGTAAGATCTAGTATTCGAAGATGAGGTAGAAGTAGTCAAATAATTTTGGATGAATAATAGATACATTTAATGACTCAATCAAAATGATGAGACATCATGCTGAAAGGAAGCTTAAGATACATTTGTAAATAAGATTATAAGATGTTGAGTGGGACTTTTTTTGTTGCCCATAATTGAAAATAAGAAGAGCTAAGTAACCCCCTTTCTATGAGAAGCTCTTAATAGATGCCAAATATTGAGGCCAGACACTGTCCCCACCTACTAAAGGGTATGTTACGAGGCGAAAAAAATTCTCTCCTACCAGCAACTAGCACCTAGCTCTGGATACGCATAAAGAGAAAACTGGAGAGAGAACAGTGCAAGTCAGCAGACAGTGCTCACAGGGAAAGGTTACTCCTCTTCTCAAGGGGAACAGAAGGATTATTATTTTTTTCTTGCTGAAGCCAATTAATGGGAGTCCATCAGAGAATGTTTAGAGATTGTGTGCGAGTTTGTGGGAAGGAAGACTGGCAATTCATTTCTCAGCTGGCTGGATGGTAATTTACTAAACACACCAGTCCCTCTGGAGCTACTATGGCGGAGCGGGGGCGAATGTCTCCGCGGAGTTGTGTATTTGCTACCTGAAGTTTAGGACTCACCCCTGAATCCAAAACAGCTGCTAGTCTTAACATTTCTGAAGGAGAGGAAATTGCTGGAGTAGCTTATGGTAACAGAGTTAGAAGGAACTGTGGTTCAGAGTTTGTTCTTGAGAGGGGTTAAATTCCCTCCTTTATCCCCATCCTGGTCTTTTGTGGCCCTTGGAGCATTTAGAAGATGGTCTCAGAGGTTACTATGGCTCAATGCAAAACAGCATGGTGGTAAGGAAGGGAGCAGAATAGCTGGTAGTGAGGAGACACTCCAGCTGGGGAAGCAGTTAGGGGCATGGTCTGCTGTCAGGGTCCAGGCTTTTCTCTGAGGGATTCCTCAGTGAGTGAGGGGGCAAAGCAAAGACGAAGAGTGTCTATAGAAAACCAAGCACACCACCAGCACAGATTTCTCAACACCACCATCTGTTAGCAATAGACAAAACTGGATTGAACCAGAGAAAAACCTAGGACACTTTCTCACGCAGACATGTAACTGATTATGTAAGATCTCTACCACCTTTGTCTTCTCTCTCTGACCCCAAAACTAGAGGAGTTCAGCAGCGGGGAGTGAGGATGGTTGTCTCAGAGTCAGATCTCCTTCCAACTTCTCTACTCCAAGCAGTCAGCCTCACAGTTTGTGTTGAGGGCAAAGAAAGGTAATCATATTTATGTTAGTTTCACAATCCAAGTTTTAAACTGGACAAAAATAAACTTCAAATAACTGAAACTGGTAGAAAGTTAGAAGATTTGCACTTTGGGAGGCCGAGGAGGGCTGATCACGAGGTCAGGAGATCAAGACCATACTGGCTAACACGGTGAAACCCCGTCTCTACTAAAAATACAAAAAATTAGCCGGGCGTGGTGGCGGGCGCCTGTAGTTCCAGCTACTCGGGAGGCTGAGGCAGGAGAATGGCGTGAACCCAGGAGGCGGAGCTTGCAGTGAGCAGAGATCAAGCCATTGCACTCCAGCCTGGGCGACAGAGCGAGACTCCATCTCAAAAAAAAAAAAAAAGGACAGTTAGAAGATTTGCTAGGATATTCATTAAAGGACACGAGAATAAGACTTGACAATCATGATTGGAAGCCTTGATTAGAATAAAAAATATAACTCTTTTGTATCTATGCTCTTGTTGAGACACATTACATGAGTAACCAAACAATGAAACATAACACTATAAACCACAGCACATCTATGGAGAAATCAAAATGCACTAATCGAAAATTATAATTTCGTGGGACATTTTATTTAAATGTAAAATTTCATCTGGCTTCTCAGTTTTGATAAAGTAGAGAGTCTGTCAATTGCTTCTTTCTTATAATAAAGTGAGTCAATCTTCCTTCCATCAGCAACATATAATACAAATTCTTCAGGCCCTTGTCAGGAATATAAACTCATACTTTCTCCTATTCCGTTTCTAAAAAGGTCTTCTAAGGAAGTAATATTTAAGAAAGTTCATCTAAGAAACATTGTACCCTTTGTCTAAGTACTTTGAATTCTGCCTTTGAATCAAGCTAGACCACTGGAAGTATATGCACCTGACCACAAAAATATATCTCCTTTAAAAATCTGTCACCAACTTTAACTTCAAAATTTTATTCTCAGGCTTCTTTGAATTATCATAAGAAAGTTTATAAAATTCTCTTCTATTTGTTGGTAAAAATATTGCTGATATTATTCAACGCGTTGCTCAGTGTCATCTCCATATGAGAAATTTCTCCATCAACTTAGTGGCAGGAAAAATTCTCTCTTGATTTGTTTCTTTCTTTTAAATAATGAGAATTGTGAAACTCCCTAAGTTTCCCTTGTTATTCTTGCTATCGGCAAGTTCAAAGCCAAATTTGCAGCTCTGTCAGAGCAAGTCTCTTATACAATATGTACAATGTATTCCACTTCGGTTTTTTCTTGAATTTGAACCTTATTTTATCAGTATATTTTATATTTTAGGGGCGTTGTCTATTTGTAAAGAAATGGAGTATAGGTAAATAAATTTGGTTCATGTGCTAGGAAAAGTTGGTTCAGATGACTGAAAGTTGATCTCCTAACATGAAATTGATTAATCTTTGAGGTGTTTTTCAAAGACTACTTGCAAAAAAAAAGAAAAAAAAAAAGAGACTTAAAATGGCCCCCAAAATGTTATCTTCATTCATTAGTTTAATATCATTAACCAGGCTAAACTGTATATTCCAATAAATTGAACAATAATAGGATTATTTTAACATTATTACTGTCAGTTAATTCTAAAAACCTTATCTTTGGTTTTTATTATATGTACCATTATATATTGAAAAGCTTAGCAGATCCTCACATCAATGTCCAGAAAAATTATCTCCAGCATTATGAAGACACTTATATCAGTTGTAGAACATCTTATAGAAGAATAGGGAAGAGAGGTAATATTTTGGGTAAGAATGTAGCACAAGCAAAAGGAGAGTCAGTGACAGAGTAGTGACAGCTTGTCTCTAAATGCTAATTAATTATATTGATCCTCTTTGTTTTCTCAGCTTAAACAAAATAAAGTGCATGGGTACCTTCAAAACAACACATGATAGAAGGGAATGGATTCACAAATGACAATAGCTGTGTTTACCTGGACACCTAGTTAATTCACTAGTTTAACAATATTGGCCAGTCTGTAATGTACATCCCAATAAACTGACCAATAAAAGGATTGCCTTAGCATTATGGAAATATAGCTAAAGTATAAGTTTAAGGGCTTCCATAAATTAATCAGATTATTATTATACATAGGCATTTATGTATTATCAGGTATAAAAGACATTTGTTCAAGCTAGGAGATATTCAAATAATGATAAAAATCATCTATGACTAGCCACCTGGGAACTATACTTTTCTAGTTTAAAGCCATAAGATGCCTCATTGCTTTGACATTGCTAAGTATAAAAAGGACTGTAGAATAATTTGTTGGTGATAAAAATGTCTGTGGTCACATTGCTATTTTACTTATTATGCAATGTAAGATATCTACTGTGGATTTCTAACAGACTCAAGTCCACAAATATATTTCTCCTGACTGTTCCTGACATTGCACAGAATGGCACAGGGAACACAGACCAACACACAAAAAGAAGAGTAACTCTTTGAAAACATTTTCTTCACACTGTAGTTTAGGACAAAAGTATTGCAGAATAAAATTTATGGTTTTAGAAAAAACAGCAACAAAAATTTGAATGAAAGACAAACTTTTGCTTTTTCGAACTTTTGGAAGACAAAATTATGACTCTAATGTTTCATTCCTTCTTCTTTCCTTGCCATTCAAATTTCTACTAAAGTGTAAGATATATCATAAAATTTGATAATATACACTGCAATGCCCATTGAGCAGACTGAACAAAGGCCATTAATATAGCAAGGAAGACATATTTTTAATATCTTTAGTCTGACATTCACTTGTCCTTTATTTACATATGCGTAATCTCTTAATTTTCTACAAATTGTAGCTTATACTCACAGAGTTTTAAAAAAATTCATGATAGCCCTCTCATTTTCTGTATCTACAATTCTAGGTTATATATTACCCTAAGTATACAGGTCCATAGGCCTATATAAAGAATTTATTTGAATTTGAAATCTTGATTTTGTGAAAGAAACAAATGTCTTGAGATTTTGTTAAAATAAGTCTGGCAAGTCTTGGCCCAAAGTTACACTGAGAGGGAATCTGTTTTCCTTTGAAAACAAAAGTATTATCAATATTTTCATAAAATGTGAGTATAAAATAGAACATAGTATTATTAAACCATATTAACATTTCATTGGCAGAGATTTCACTTTGTTAAAGGCTGTATAAGAACAGCTTAATCTCATAACCCAGAAGTTTTTACTGTTATTATTGCCTCTTTATTTTTGGCTAAAGTGTAATTTTTAAATGAGTATACAGAAACCTAATACTATATATTGAATGACTTTAAGTAAATAAATATCCATGCTATTCATCAGGATAAGTGACCTAGTGACCAGAATAAAAAGGATATATGTTGGTAGCCCCTAGCACAGTATGCCTCAGCACAGAGGTTTCTTGGGTTACTGCTAGTGAATGATTCCAATTCTTGGCCGTCTGATCCCACACATTACATAAATTCCAACTCCTGCATCTGTTTAGGTGAGCTGTTGGCTAAATGGATATGTAATGAAATTAAACAATATTTTTAAGGTGCTTTTTAGGATGGGTTATACCCCCTCTTTTTCTCCTCCTTTCCTTGCAACCTGCCCTCTACTCATTCTTTTTA
This sequence comes from Homo sapiens, assembly GCF_000001405.40. Classification (NCBI taxonomy): domain Eukaryota; kingdom Metazoa; phylum Chordata; class Mammalia; order Primates; family Hominidae; genus Homo; species Homo sapiens. Next base: position 140,252 of record NT_167250.2, read on the forward strand.
TGCATATTTTTGAGAGCCTGAATATGCTAGGAAGAGGGTTTCAGTCTGTTAAGAATTCACAACCTTGTGGAGTTGAGATACAATTAATAAAATTTCTAGTATAATGAGGTAAGTATTATGATACCATGAAAGCACAGAGGAGAAACACCTACTCTGTTTTGTAAGGATTAGGGAAAGCAATTTAGAGATTATACCTAACACAAACACACAGATATTTGCATAGTATGTGAGCACACGTTTAAAAAAATGTAATTTTCACCCTAGAAATAAGACAGTAGTGATTCAGCGTGAGTTGATATGCCTGTCTCCACTATAATGAAAGAAATATAACGTCTTAAGTATGGGTTGACATTTGCAAACTAACTGATTTTTCTAGAAGAATGATGCCACATAATTTAAAAATATTAATGCTTTTCTAATCTCTAGTGTATTTTCAATGGCTAACATAGTTAAAACCAAAGTGAAATTTTTATTATGTACATAATCGAATGCAAATTGTGTCAGGCTAGTTTAAAAAATATGAATGTCAGTCCTGGCTTGGCAATTTAATAACTATTTGGTTTTTGACCAAGTCATTTAACTTAATTAAACCTCAGTTTCTTCTCTGTAAACAAGAGAAGGTCAAGCAAGATAGTTTTAAAATTTCTTTCCAAATTTATACGTCTGACTTTTCTAAAAAATCTGGTTTACACTAATACTTAAAAGAAATTATCTTAAAACAATAAATTATAAATTTATTTTTTGCTCTTGCTCCCTGTAAAATTTGTCCTTGTCCTGCTAGTCACATATAGTCCCCACTACACCAGCCAAGACTTGTCAGACTGGTTCTGTTGAGATCATCAGTGACTTATTTCCTCACTTCAATTCAGCCCACAAAGTCATTGATAGAGCTGGATTCACACACTTGGATGTAGACCTCGACCTTCACAGGACTCTTCATTGCTGGTTGGCAATGATGTATCGGTGAGTTAGTTCCCTTTTTCTTTCTAGAAGTCTTAAGGTAACTTTTAGTTTAAAACAGTATGAGCCACACCAAGGAATGTGTAGATCTACAGTTTATTATTTTTTTAAATATAGAAACATATTTTTGAGATTTTACATAAAATTATGTCAAGAAAAAGATTTCTATTCTTTCTGTATTAGTGTTTCCTGTCCTCTTTTGTTGTATCCCATGTGTTTTTCTGTTTACTTTTAGAAGGTTTCTACACAATGTAAAGGTACATGGTGTTTGACAGCTGTCTTTTAGTTAGTTTGGCCATATGTTTCAAGAAAGATATAACATATTTTTAGCTTGGGCTTTGTTTGTCTTATTGAGAAACACTTTTATTTTAGAAGGTGTACATGAAAAAAAGTCTGAAATAATGCAGAAAAAAATGTTTATTTCTGTAAGTAGTTAAAAATTTAAAAACTCTAGATGTTTTGAAAGAATCAGAAACAACTGAAGAAAATAATATGACTAAATTATTATAGCCTGATTTAAAAAATAAATCCACTGATATGCCTGGCCATAGTCAACTTCTCCAAAGATAAGTCATGATCATTTTGAGGTTTTCTTTCAAAGTTAGAAACTAATCAGTAACAAGGTTTTGGGGTACTAGTTTTGTCTTTGAAAATAATTTTATCTCCTGATTAAAATTTATTTTCTCTGATTCTCATATTGGCATATCATTTTTTATTAGTTTTTACTTTGAGAACAGTTTGAAAATGTTAAACTTTGAATGAAATCTGTGGTCTTCATTTAACATGGAAAAACAGGTTCTGTCATCAGTTGAAAGTTCTACATACTTGTTATTAGAAGTTTAATACTCTTCTGTACATATCCATGAAGCAACTAAAAGCTACGGATACTAAACATTTTGTTGGGCTTATCAAGGCTCCCTGCCTTTTGCAAGTATTTCTTTACAACCAATGATGGTTTTGTATCCTATTCTCTTTTTCTCATTGACTTTACTATAGAAAACAGTGCTTCAAGAAAGCTTCCAATAAACTTAACATACTAAATAGATTACAAGCCTTATCTATGGTATATGTCAGAGATTTGGAATTTGGTTATAAATGTGTAGAGGCGGTATAATGTGGGAATACTGGAGTGAATTTTTCTGAGTGTAGTCTCTAATTTGAAGCAAAAGATGTGACTATTTTTAAAAATCCTGCTGCAGAATAGATGCAAATAATCTCTCATGGAAAAAACCAAAAACCAAAACCAACCATCTAACAAACAAAAACGTCTTCCTGATCTGAAGATTGTATGAAAGATGAAGCACATCTATGTTTGAGTGGGTCTAGATGAGATAAAATGTTAAGAGCATGTACTAGAGCAAAAAAGGATTAAGTTTATTATTCACATTTGCTGTCGTAAATGTGCCAACAGGAGTGTTATCGAGGAAGAGGGATAATTGAAATCCTAGGATATAAGTAGACAATTTCTTCTTAAGGTCATTGGTTTTAACTCAGAAAGAATACAAGAAACAGGTGGGGAATTTTATTAAATAGCATGCTCCTTCCTTTTCAGTCAGATTTCGGATAGCCTTCTCCCTGACTCTACCTGAATAAGAATCAGTTTTTTTTGTTTTTTTTTAGAATTTAAGGGTAGGAAAAAATTTAAACTGGGTAAGCATTATTCTTCTTGTACTGCCATTTTCTCCAAACTCTTATTTTGGACTATTCTTTGAGCATGAAGAGATCAACACATGAATTTTATAAACACACAACAGAAAGTTAAAGAAAACTCTATCAGGCATAAGTTTATAGAGAACAGATTTGGGAAGAGAAGAATGTGTCCATTAAATATATTTATTGGTCATAGGGGTGTATACTAACTGTATTTATCAGCAACCACTGAGAAGAAGTGAAAATAAGCAGACTGAATTTATAGGCATCGACATCCACACATATTGAGATGGCTGAAGGTGAAATGAGTAATATTCAAATGAGACAAAATGGACAACTTTAATTTTTACCTAATAGGGTAAGCACTGTCTCTAAAAGTGTGGTCCGTAGACCCCTGCATTACAGTGCTTATTAAAAATAGGAATCTCCAGCTCTCATCCCAGAAATTCTAATGAATCTCTGGTTGAGACATGGAAATCATATTTAAAACATTTACACAATGTAATTCTTATTTACCCTAAAGTTTGACAAGCACTAATGGTGTAAAGACATAGAAAAAGAAAAAGAAATGTGTAAGCCTGAAAGAAATTAAACCATAAATGAAATAGGCCAGTTGTTAAAAGTAGTTCTGTTTTATTTAAATTGGTGTAATTACATCTTAATGGGAGGTGCTCTTTCCCAGTCACCTTTCCCTTCAAGGGAGAAGAGTACTCATTTATGCAACATGGTGATGATTAAGAAAGAGAGGATAATTTCAGAAAGGAGGGGAAACTGAGGGGGGAGAACATAGACATTTTTTGCTTAGTTTGTGTCTGATAAGGAAGATGACTTTATATGGATCATAAAAATCTATTTGTTTACAGGAAAAACCTTGGTATAAAATTAATGTAGCAGTGTTACCCTGTGACATTAGTCAGTATGGATACTGAAGAGACACTCCTTTTAGGCTTAGGCCCAGAGTTGCTATATGGTTGTGTTATAAGTATTTAGCATGTGCTCACACTTCTCCTTCAACTAGAATCAGCCCTGATCCATATAACAACTTTTAGTGAGTTCTCATTGCATACTAAGTCCTGTGTGGAAGAAAACTCTCTGTTGAGCACCTACTATATATTGTGTATTTTATAAAATGCAATTTCATTAAATTTTGGTAATGTTTTGATAAGTGGTTATTGCTTTCATTCCTTTTAAAAGATGAAGCACCTGTGGCTCAGATTGTCTAGGCGGTTAGTAAGTGTCGAATCTAGAATCTAATTCTGATCTTTCTGATTTTAAAATATACTTTTTTCCCTGTAACATATTGTCTACCATGTGTAGGAAGCTATAAGTAGAATCTTTGAGAAGTTTACAGAGAAAATAGATGGCAACAGAGAAATAGAAAATAAACGCACACATATCCACACATGGAGAAAATGTTGGTGCATAGATTTAAAAAACCAGAAGATGTAAAGACTAATATGAAATCATGCACATTTATGCTGAGGAAAGAAGTGTGGAGGTGTAATTTTACTTTCATTTATAAGTTTTAAAAACATTTTAAAAAATGCATTGCCTGCCCTTATACAACCGACTTTGTATTTAAACTAAATAAACAGTGATCTATCTTTTCTGCACTGTTTCAAAGGTGATCAGAGTATAGCACTTTAACTACATCATCTCTGTTTTCTAAAAAGGATTACATTTGCTATATTGTGAAAATCATGTTTATCTTAGAGCAATATTTCATGGAACTAATTCACTGGTCTGCAGTAGCTGTCTGCTAAATGAATCTTTGTTGTTCTGTCATTGTTGTCTGCTTTCCTCCAAAAATATGTCATTGCTTCAACTTAAAGAGAAAATAAATAGAAACAATCCAGAGAAACATGAAAAATAGCAGTGTCGTGTGTTTCCGTATTAGCACTGAGATTTATAAGCATGCCTGATGGTTTTAGTGCTTGTGAAAGAGGTAGATTGAACAGTCGTGAAGCAGGTCTTCTGGAAGGGTAGGAGGTAAAATGGGTTCTCTGGCTTGTTTTATGGCTCTATCAGGGTTAGAGTTTAGAGAAACTGCACAGAGAAGTTCTTCAAGTGCGCTCCTTTGGATCTGCTCTCATTGAAGATAATAGCTAAGAACTGTGAAGAATACTTTCACATTTTCAGGTTTTAATAGGTTTAAAATGACTGGACTAGAGAGAAGGAAGGTTTTAAGAGGTTGAGAAAGAAAAATGGGCTGCAGAAACACTGAGTCATGCCAGAACCTGTAAGCCCAACCTTCTTCTCCCATGTACACACATGGCCTGTGTGGTAGGGCAATTTTTAGAATTGCAATTCTAAGATGATAGAACTAATCTTAGGGGGATCCAAAGTACTATACAGGCATATTTAAATTCTATTTTGCAACCTTTTATCTGAAAATGTCAGATGATATCTCTGTTTTGAAACTGCAAAAGCAGACACAGAGGGATTTAGCACTTTGTTTAAAGTTGAACTGTGAGTCAGTGCAGGACAAAATAATAATTGCTATCTTTAGTTTCACATGTACTATCTGCCAACTACTGTCTTAAAACATCATATGCATTTAAACTTTATATCAACCTATGGTTATATTATCATACTCATTTTACAGATGAGAAAAATGAGGCTCAGACAGGTAATTTTTTTTTGCCCAGGGGTAATAATAAAAGGCAGAACTGATGGTTAACCAGGGTCTATCTGACTTCAAAGCCTATGCTCTTAATCACAGTGCTATACCACCCTCACAATGTCTCCTTTGTCTGCCTAAGTGGTTCTTTTACTACTTTGATTTAACTGACTTACTGTCTTAAAAGGTGAAAAATTTACATTTTCAAGAAACATTGTTATGGATGATCTTTAAAGTAGACCTCTAAGGCCAGTGGATAGGAAGCATTGCTGTATGCATTCTCTAAAGGAAGGGAACAAAATGCTCAAAGATGAGATAATTTGCATGTGGCCACAGGAATGGGTGAGTCAGTCAAGACAGAGATGTAGTCTGTCCTCCCACTTCACCTGTATACTGATGTCAATACAGTCAAACAGAAGAGTTAAATTAACACCGGTGGCTACATGACCCAAGACATATTATTGTTATTTTTATTACTATTACCATTTAAGCTTGTATGAAAATATGTGGCCCATTTAAAATTAGTTACTTTACATTAAATTTTGTCAGGTCACAGTTAGTAAAATTTAGAGAGGGTACATATCGTAACAATAAAAATATTATTTGACGTAAATATGCTACATATGTAATTTCAACATATGTTTTCTCATTTGGTACTTTACAACACTGAGAATCAGATAATTTTAATATTACCATGACTTTACAGCTAGGGAAACCAAAAATTAGGAAGACTGAGACTTCCAAATCTCTGCTAAGTGACTGGTAGAGCTGGAATCTGAGCACACCTGTTCTCACATCAGCCCTGTGCTTTCTAGTCCTGGCTTCTGCCAGGTCATGATTCTGGGATCAGAAGTGCTTCTTTGGTGAAGCACAGATAACTTACCTTGGCTTTCAAAAAATTACTTTATCTTAGTGTTTCAACTTTCCTAATTCAGAAAATACCAAAGATAATAAATGAACACTTTAAAAATATTTCAAACCAATCTTTTAATTATATAGTACATTCAAGTCATTATTAGGCATTTGGGGATACATTATTTGATTCAACAATAAAGCTATATTTGGCCTTTTAAAAACAGGGTAATGAATTCTTGTACTAAACTGTAGGACAACTGGCAGCTGCCTGACTCAAATCTCTGAATTGGATGGGTCCGAAGATGAACGCTTTTTAAAGTTTTCTTTACTAGTTGAATCCCTTTTTGCACTGGAAGCTTAATGCAGACCCTTGATGTTTGGAGCAGAATTGCTGTGGGTGGAGTGGGATAGAGGCTAGAAGCTTCCTCTACCTTCCTGTCTTTTATTCCCTTAGGCATACGTGAGGCATCTGAGTGGATTTTTCAACCCACCTTAAAGCTAATTTTTCATTATGAAAGAGGAAATAATGACAATGGCCAACTTTTGTGGTGTATTTACTGTGTGCCTGGCATGGTGCCATCTCCCTTGTGTTACTTTATTTAATCTTCAGAAGAATCTTCTGAGTTAGGTCTTATCATTATCTCCATTTGTGGGTGGGGAAATGTAGATTTAGAGAAGGTGAGTAACTTTCCTAGAGCCACCTAACTAGTAACAGGCAGTTAGGACTAATCCCAAGCTGTTTGATGCCTAAGCCCAAGTCTTTATCCACTAAACAAGAAAATGGAAGTCATTTGCTTAAAGTCATAGAGCTTGTTACAAAGAGGCTCTTGACTAGAACCTTGGTCTTCTGATATATTAATATTATAATTATTAATTGTATCTCAAAATTATGCTGCTAGAGAAAATTAAGTTAAAATAGTTTACCATCTTTCACATATACAGAATTTGCAAGAGAATTAGTAAATACACGTCTTCATGTCCTCTTTTCCCAAAGATCATTATGTGAAAGTGGCAATTTCCCTTGATTGCAACAATCTGTTTTGCATATTATAATAGTATCGGATTTAGCTACGAGTGACAGGAAACCCAGAGTAACAGGGGATTACATAAAATGGAATTTTATTCCGTTTAATGTGAAACAATTCTGGAGATAGGCAGGTAAGAGCTAATAGGGAGGTTCACAAAATAATTAGGAATCTAGTCTCCTACTATTGTGCTGTCCTACCAGCTTGATTACGTGTCTTCCAAATCCTGGTCTACTGTGGCAATCCATGCTTCAACTAGCACATATGTATTCTAACTATGAAATGCACATTAGGATTCCAGCCAACAAAATAGAGACTCCATTGGAAAGAAAGTATTCATATGCTGACTCTTATGGACAAGGGGCACTATTTGATTTTTCTGGTGGCTGTGTGCCTAACCAAAGATCAAGGTTTCTGTTATTAGAAAAAAAAGAATAAATATTTGGGATAGGCGTCTAGGAGTTTCTAGTATAGCTGTATTAAGTTTGAATGGTAAGAGGTATAGCCCATTGTGATGAACATAGGCTGGTGGATATATAGTTTTGAAGTGTAGGCAAGTGAGCTGAGCTGCAGTTATAGATTTGGTAGTCATCAGTATATAGATATGAATTAAACGCATGGACATTGGTAACTAAAAGTATTTGTTCTTTTGGGTAAAATAATGCATTTCTTATAATTTTTATGGTATTAATTTGCACAGAAATCCTACTTTATTCTAATATGAACCTGAGCTTATTTCACTATGTTATTATTAAATGCCAATATATTAGAACGTAATTGTCAAGGTGAGTATATAATAAAAAATTTCATAAATTTTATGTACCATCCAAAAATTAAAACTGAATTCTTACATATATTTCAGGTCGATAACTGGGGCAGAAAATTCTTTAATCAGGAAAACTCACTTTTCATTTTGGAAGAATTATTTAAACATCGAGAGGGTCTATACATTTTTCAATTTCTCCTCATTGCTGAATTAATTCAGATAGAATTTTGTTACATGTAGAAATTTCTAGACTGTCTAAAGAATTCTTGGTGTATGGTTTAGAGTGCTTTCTAAGGAAACAGCAAGCCAGAGGACACAACAAGGTGTCAGCATGTGGCCCAACTGTCACATTCAGGCACATTTTAATCAGGGTCTAGAGATTTTAAAAAGTTGGTGTATAGTAGTTATACATATTTTGGGGGTATCTGTGATATTTTGATGCTTGTATGCAATGTGTAATGATCAAATCAAGGTAACTGGGATGTCTATGACCATCTTGTGTTGGAAATATTACAGTTCTCTTCTAGCTATTTTGAAATGCAAAACAAGATATTGTTAACTAAAATTTCCCTACTGTACTGAATGGTAGAACTTATTCCTTCTATCTATACATTTGTACCCCTTAACCAACTTCTCAATACAAGTAGTAAAGTATGATTTTCAAAGTCTGGCTTTCTCAGGTATGGTATTTAGATTGTTTCAAATAACTTGTAGTCTCTTAGTTTGACTGCAAATTATTTCAAATTATCTGACATTGTAGTCAACAGAAAAATGAGGCATTTGAAAAATTGCCTGAAGTCTGATTGTTTAACAAATGCTGAATTTTAATTAGGATATGTAACTTTTTGTGTTATGTGAGGCATGGAACATTAGCTTGGATGAAAATTGAAGACCATTTAGATCAATTTAAATTTCCGCTGATTTTTTAACATGTGAAGAAAAGGAGAGCTCTCAATATCATACAAGTTGGGGCTCAGGGGATGCTGGAACTCGTTTGATGTGGAGTATGCTCTCAGATTTCTCATCTGTTTGAACTAACACTAAGACATAGGTTACTGGTTTTACAGTTTAGATCTACTTCCATTCTATCATGCAAACTTTCTTGGAGTCATCTAGACAATGTCAAGAAGAAGATTTGGTAGGAAGACAGCTAAAATTTTAAAAAGTTTCTGAAAGTCTCAAGCTATATATTAGCAGCCACAAGAGTGTCTCTAGCTCAGGTTTCTCAATCATTTTTCTTCTGATACACTTGCAGTGATATCAGCACACTGCTTGTTAATTCTTATTTTTCTTCCACATTTTGAAGTGTGTAAAATTCCCTATGATTGGCTGCAATGGCATCGCTCGTTAACTTTGCTGTGGGATATTGTTGTGTATAAAGTTGCTCAGGTAATGCCAGTTTATTATCTTGAACTAAAAAGAGTTTGAGGAAAAGAAAGCAAATATATTAGTAGAATTCAAACTTCAGTAGCTTAGTTTAAGTCTATAAACCCATAACTAATTACTTAATAATATCTTTAATTTTTTTGCAACCCACCTATCTGTATGTAGTTGCAAATTTCTAGAGATCAGGCCAAGTGTCAACTTAAATATCAGTTTGTAGTCACCTGTGCTGTACCATATTTAGTTGGGAACTTAATAAAACCTTGATGATAATCACAGTGGAGGTCAGAGACATTCCTTACTGTTGAGTTGCCACTAATATTTATGTAGTACACCTATCTAACAAAGTCTATTGATATCATATGCAATCTTCACAACCTCCTTTTAAAGGTAAGGGAAAGATACTGTCACGTAAGTTTTATGGTTGGCTAAACAGAAATAGTTAAACTCTGGGTTTTGTAACTTCTCTATGAGAACTAGCCGTAATTATTATGGTAGGGAATGCAAACATTGTGATTCAGCCCAAGCGCCTGGCTGATGCTATCAGATACTTATAGATGTGTTTTATCTTCCAGTGGATAGGACAGAAATATGTTATTTGTAATTTTATGTGGAGTAATTTGCTTGTATTTCTTCTTTTTTTAAAAAAACAGCAATGAAAATATATAATCCATGCACGTATATATGATATTCTGTTTTATTTCTACTGTGGATATTTTTATAGTCCTGTTCTAGAAAGTGTGAGAAGGATTAATTATGTCACCAATGCTTGCTGGTTTGGGCTTTTCACAAAGTAAAACACATCTCAAATACTTTTGTTGATAGGATAAGCAGGCACAATCCTATGAGCTAAGCTACGGTCAAATACATATCATATGCCAAAACAAATATATAGACCAATGGAACAGAACAGAGGCCTCAGAAATAATGCCACACATCTGCAACCATCTGATCTTTGACAAACCTGACAAAAACAAGCAATGAGGAAAGGATTCCCTATTTAATCAATGGTGTTGAGAAAATTGGCTAGTCATATGCAGAAAACTGAAAGTGGACCTCTTCCTTACACCTTAAACAAAAATTAACTCAAGATGGATTAAACTTAAATGTAAGACCTAAAACCATAAAAACTCTAGAAGAAAACCTAGGCAATACCATTCAGGACATAGGCATGGGCAAAGACTTCATGACTAAAACACCAAAAGCAATGGCAACAGAAGCCAAAATTGACAAATGGGATCTAATTAAACTAAAGAGCCTCTGCACAACAAAAGAAACTATCATCAGAGTGAACAGGCAACCTAGAGAATGGGAGAAAATTTTTGCAATCTATTTATCTGACAAAGGGCTAATATGCAGAATCTACAAAGAACTTAAATTTACAAGAAGAAAACAACCCCATAAAAAAGTAGGCAAAGGATATGAACAGACACTTCTCAAAAGAAGACATTTATGCAGCCAACAAACATATGAAAAAAAGCTCATCATCACTGTTCATCAGAGAAATGCAAATCAAAACCACAATGAGTACCATCTCATGCCAGTTAGAATGGCGATCATTAAAAAGTCAGGAAACAACAGATGTTGGAGAGGATGTGGAGAAATAGGGACATTTTTACACTGTTGGTGGGAGTGTAAATTAGTTCAACCATTGTGGAAGACAGTGTGGTGATTCCTCAAGGATCTAGAACCAGAAATACTATTTGACCCAGACATCCCATTACTGGGTATATACCAAAAGGATTATAAATCATGCTACTATAAAGACACATGCACACGTATGTTTATTGCGGCACTGTTCACAATAGCAAAGACTTGGAACCAACCCAAATGCCCATCAATGATGTCTGTTATACGTATCTCATTTCTTCTTCAATGATAGACTGGATAAAGAAAACATGGCACATATACACCATGGAATACTATGCAGCCATAAAAGAGGATGAGTTCATGTTCTTTGCAGGGACACGGATGAAGCCGGAAACATCATTCTCAGCAAACTAACACAGGAACAGAAAACCAAATACTGCATGTTTTCACTCATAAGTGGGAGTTAAACAATGAGAATACATGGACACAGGGAGCAGAACATCATACACTGGGGCCTATCAGTGGGTGGGGGGCTAGGGGAGGGATAGTATTAGGAGAAATACCTAATGTAGATGATGGGTTGATGGGTGCAGCAAACCACCATGGCACGTGTATACCTATGTAACACACCTGCACATTCTGCCCATGTACCCCAAAACTTAAAGTATAATTTTTCTTTTTTTAAAAGACCAACTATTGATTGGTGGTATTGCTGTGAAGAGGCTTCTTCTGGTAAATTTTTCTTTGAAACACTGAGCCTTGACTTGTCATTTTCCAGTGCTTGCCATTAGCTTTATTTGCACTAGTACATTTTCCCCTTGTCTTTTTGCTGTTGCTGCTGCTTTTCTTTTTTAGCACTATTCTAAAAATTACACATTAATAAGCAATAATAATAATGCAGCCTAAGCATATTGCTTGTTTTCTGGCAATTTGGGGCTAAAAAAACAAAGCATACTTTAACTGTTATATTCACTTGACTTGTCACTAATTATACATGTCTCCAGATTGAAAAGAAAATCATATAAAGAAAGAAATTTGATATTACTAAAGCTGTTAGAATTCAATCAGTCTATCTGAAGGTGATTTTACACGAATAGGTGCACATAAGTTTTGATAGATGAAAATATTGACTGGACAAGTGTTTATGTATGTTCAGGAGGAGGTTAATTATACAAACGTCTGTTGATATGTAAAATAAATTTATTCCTTCACTTTACTACTTTCTTTGAGCATACTTTTTTCACATCTAATTTGGAGGAATTCAGTATTGAATCACTTACTGAGAAAATAAAAAAGTAACTAAGAAATAGGATCAATTATATCTCAAAAAAGCTAAAAAATAGGGTGAATCAGTTTGAAAAACAATGCTATACAGACTGGGAAAAGAACAAATAATGTTTCAAGTGACAAACATCTTAGTAATGTGGTCATTACCACTATTACTAATAATTAAAATAATGATGATGATAATTATCATCCTCGTTATTTGTACAATGATTTTTCCACTTGGGAGCTCAAAGTACCAAACCGCCTTCTCATTTTTATCTCTACCTAGCTCATTAGGTTAGGAGGGGTCTGGACTTATTATCCTTGTTTTTCATATGGAGAAATTAAGACAGATAATTGAATCTCTGCGTACAAGACTATATAATAAATGAGTTGGTGGCAGGGCTCAGAAATATAATCTCTTAATTGTTTATTCAAAGTATTTTTGACTGGATTCTCTTTTTCCTTTGTCCCATATTATCCCTTTTGTCTACTTCTAGCCACTCAGGAGAGCATGTCACTAAAATAGTTGTGAGTAATGTGGAAAGGTGGGGGTCAGAAGAAGAATCACAGTGGTACCTTGGACACTGCAGTGATGTAAATTCCATGAAAATACATATATAATCTTCCTTAGTTTTTTTTTCATATTTTAAGAATGTCCTATGTCTCTCGCTCTCTTTTTTTTAATTCAAACGCCATAATGTTGTTCTTAAAAAATCCACCATAAAACAAACAAATCCATAAATTAAAATTAAAATTTCTCACTTATTTGTTATTCGGCTTCTTACTAATAAACATTGGTTGTGTCTTCTATATATTTTGTTATGCACACACATATATAGTTTCATTATTTATGAAAACCGAAACATGAAATGCATATTATTCTATAACTTTTTAAAATTGAAACTTATCATTAACCTTTTTAATGTTAATACATGAAACCTACTTCATCAATAGAATGGCTGCATTGCTTACATTTTTGTCTTGATTAAAACTTACTGTAGAACAAATAGAACGTGTCTAATATTTCACAATTCTATATAACAATCATATACTTTTGATAATTTCATGTTTTCTACAAGCACACATTCATTTTCTTCATCTGACATGTTTTGATATTAGTTGAGAAACCCTTCTCTCCCTGTATTCCCCCCAAAGTTTTGCTTACGTGTGTTATACCCATCTCCTTTCTTCTGTAACAGATTAATAGCAAGCATTCAGGGATGAAGGAAGAAGAGTCAGTTTTGGGGGTTTCTTAGGCTCAGTTGCACATAAAACATAATCTCATTGTGGAGAAGACTTTTTATATTGCAGTAATTGACATTCTAGGAACAGGTGTTTGGAATTCTACTCAAGGGAAAACTGGAGATGGGAAAGGTTGAGGAGAGTAAGATAAAAGCTTCCCTGGTTACGGCCCCGTGGAAAAATCACAGGAACAAGGCAGGAGAACAAGCAGAGCCCCTGGAGCCTTCCACTACATCTCAGTCCCTTTCCCAGGGACAGGATTATACAGCGATGATAACACCATTGACTTCTATGCCAATGCTCTTTATTTTGTGTCCAGCCAGAGCCAGGATCTAATGATGGTGTGACAGGGGCCAACATGATAATATTATCACTTCCTGATCCTATATCATCAGGAAACAGAGCGTTCTTGTTTTCTGTAAACAAAAGGCATTTATTGTGAAATGCTTTGCTGTTTACACGTTCATGATCTAATTTTAGGTCCCAAAGTGCTTTAGACGGAATGGTTATCCCGCCCCTTACTGATATATGGGGAAATTGAGCTCAGAGTTTAAATGATTTTTCCGTCGCTGATCTGTTAATGAAAGGGCTGCACTTAGAATTCTCCTTATTCTGATTCAACACCCAGTACTCCTCCAGGAGAATACCATGTTTTCCTCAAGTCCTCATGTAGCAGACAGTTAGCACTCTAGAAAAAAGAAAAAAGCATAGCACACACTGGCGTAAATACCTCAAGAAATCTAAAATAAGAGTATCATATTCAAACTCCTTAGTCATCTCTGACTTATTATTTCACATTTCTGGCTTTAGAGTTTGCTTACCAAATATTATAACCCAATGGGACAGCAACTTTACCAATCAAACAAAAATCATGTGGATCAATGTTTTTCAGTAACATGTATTTTTGAAGGCAGAACAAATAGAAGTTGAGGGAATCTCATGCAAAAAGAATTTCCTGTAGCTTTTTTTTTTTTTTTAAGACGGAGTCTCGCTCTATCGCCCAGGCTGGAGTGCAGTGGCCCGATCTTAGCTCACTCCAAGCTCCGCCTCCCAGGTTCACGCCATTCTCCTGCCTCAGCCTCCAGAGTAGCTGGGACTACAGGCGCCTGCCACCATGCCCGGCTAATTTTTTTGTATTTTTAGTAGAGACGGGGTTTCACCATGTTAGCCAGGATGGTCTTGATCTCCCGACCTCATGATCCGCCCGCCTCGGCCTCCCAAAGTGCTGGGATTATAGGCGTGAGCCACCGTGCCCGGCCTTCTGTAGCATCATTAAAGCTTAAAGGTAAATATTAGCTCAAAACCTCAGGTTCTTTAGGAAGGGGCCTCTGGTTGTTTCTTCTATGTATCCTCAAAGTTTGGTTTGGAAATAGATCAGAAAATTAGAAGAATAGAATTAGCAACTCCATGTGAAACCTGGTATGCTTCAAGCTGTAACACACTTCAAAGGCTATTTAAGATTCTAGAGTGCTAGAGAAAAGGCTTAAAATATTTTTGTAGCCCCTGCAGTGTCTAACTCTATATCAAGTACATGGCTGGCTCAACAAGTGATAGCTAACATTTAATATTGCACTTTTCTACATGTCAGGCATTGTTACAGGCACTTTATATGTAGTACTTCATTTAATCCTCACAATAATCATATGAAATAGGTACTATCATTATCATCTTCCTTTTATGGATGAGGAAACCCAAGCACAAAAGTCAAACTACTTGCCTAGCAACAGGAGTCAGAGTCAGGACTGGCCTCAGCAGCCTGGAACCAGGGTGTGCTCTAAACCCAGACAGTACACGACCCTCCAACTGAATGTCCTTTATTCCCCCAAAATATCTGTTTTGTCTAATGAGTGGATGTGTTGCATGCTCTGAAATAATCTATCTATTTATTTTCTTCCTTAGGCCAGATGTGGTGAGGGCTAGGAAAAGAGTTTGTTGGGAACCCTGGGTTATCGGCCTCGTCATCTTCATATCCCTGATTGTCCTGGCAGTGTGCATTGGACTCACTGTTCATTATGTGAGATATAGTAAGTATAAGCTGCCTTGGCATCATGTGATTTACCCCAAATATTTCCTCATACCTTGCTGTTTTGATTTGCCTCAGGCTTATTCATTTATCACTACGATTCATTTGCATAGCCTGTACAAAGGGATCTTTACCTGCTTTCTCTCTTATTTAGTCCTCATAAGTCAAGGAGGATTCTTTTTTCTATCTTTGATGTAGTGATGCTTTCTGCTGGGAACAGCATGCTTATTTGCATCTTCCTTAATAAGCAATAAGTGAGTATTAATCAAAGGAAAACTACAGGATAGCTAGAACCAATGTCTTGAGTTGTTTGAGGTCACAGGGCAAGCATCTTGATTTAAAATAATTCTGACCGGGTGCAGTGGCTCACGCCTGTAATCTCAGCACTTTGGGAGGCTGAGGCGGGTGGATCACTTGAGGTCAGGAGTTTGAGACCAGGCTGGCCAACATGGTGAAACCCCGTGTCTACTAAAAAAAAAAAAAAAAAAAATAGCCAGGTGTGATGGTGTACACCTGTAGTCCCAGTTCCTGGGGAGGCTGAGGCAGGAGAATCACTTGAACCCAGGAGGCGGAGGTTTCAGTGAGCCGAGATCACACCGCTGCACTCCAGTCTGGGCAAGAGAGAGAGACTCGGTCTCAAAAAGAAAAAAAAAAAATCCAACTCGTTGAAGTCCTGACATCCCAATAAATCAATGACACAATCTGGAGTCATAAAGAAGTAGGCTCTATTCTGTACCAGTAAGTTACAAAAATAGTCATAGTGATGTATTGTTGAGTAAGTGCCTATTTCTGTTATTAAAATCTCATCTTAGGATATATTGTAAGTGATTAAAGAGGATAGGGTATGCCAAGAAAGCTAATTATAAAGATGTTCACCCTGCGGTTATCAGGTACCTCATTGCTAGATGAACTGTTAGTTGCTATGTTATTAGAAAGGTCTCCAGGGTACTTCAGAACTGTTATTCTGGGATGTAACAGCCCTTCTGAAGTTTCCTCCTACTCTGCCTAGGGTTTTAATTACTTGACTCAACCATGACCTGTTAGTTTAATATCTTCCTCTGTTACTAGATTATACTTGGATGTTCAAGGCACCGTAACCATAGAAGCTAATAACTTGATTCTAATTTAATTGGGACCTTGTTGAAGTTTCTTTCCAGTAACGAGAAAGAGTACTCTGTAACCTGGTTATCTTCCTCTACTATCCACGCAAGTATAATCTCAATTTACAAAGCAAGGTGGATCATTTCTGGATAGTTTAAAAAAATATTTAAAACAAAGATTTTTTTGGTAGAATTTGCATACAGGCAAGTCTTTAAATTTGGAGTATCTGCATATTAATAACAGATTTTTCTGTAGCACACTTTTTTTTTGCTTTTTGAGACGGAGTCTTGGTCTGTTCCCAGGCTGGAGTGCAGTGGCTCGATCTCGGCTCACTGCAACCCCTGCCTCCTGGGTTCAAGTGATTTTTGTGCCTCAGCCTCCTGAGTAGCTGAGATTACAGGCATGCGCCACCACACCCGGCTAATTTTTTCTATTTTTAGCAGAGACAGGGTTTCACCATGTTCGTCAGGCTGGTCTCGAACTTCTGACCTCAAAAGATCTGCCTTCCTTGGCCTCCCAAAGTGTTGGGATTACAGGCATAAGCCACTGTGCTGGGACTGAAGCATACTTTAAATAAAAATGAATTGCTGGAATAACTTTATAGTTCTACAGTTCTGCTGAGAATATTGAGTCCTACTTTGTTGTAAGCATCATTATTTGTCCCCATGGATGTCTAGGACTGTTTTACACACTTTTGTGTGTCTAGAATTTATCAGAATCTTGGCACATGTTATGTGCTTTATAAATATTTATTAAATACTGAATGATAATATCAAATGAATCATGCCTACAATATTTTCTTGGGCCATACTTCGGCTTGTCTGACTTCACAAGGAATTCCTAGTAACACTAGGGGCTAATCACCTCAGTGAGAGAAAATGTCCCTTTCTACTTCTCATTTGCCTCTTCCCAAGCCAAGTTTTATAAGATTCATAAATCTTAGTCATATGTATACAGTGAAAACTTGGCAAGAATTTTTTCAGTAACCTGTTCCTGAATCCTGTTGTTTGGATGATCAACTGAGTAATACTGAACACACAGCTTCTACTGCCCACACAGTACACCTGAATAAACAGTGATTGTTGTGATGTGTGTTACTGCCTTCTATTTGTGACCTGCTTTCTGTTTTGGGATGTAAACTAACCGAGTGGCTTTGGCAGACAAATATTTAGAAGCTGACATGCCAAAATAACCAAATCAAACCAAACCAAAAAAATCTGTCACAGAAATAGACAGATACAGACAAAGGTAATCAGATTTGGAAAAATATCATTTTGGTTCTCATTTCATAAAGCCCAGGACAATGTAGAATTCTGTGTATGGTTCGTGTCTGGGGCCTTTGGGGGTGCATTTCTGCCCCTGTGTAATTTGGATGTCAGAAGATGAATCTGTTATAAGCAACATCACTGCAGATTATAGAATCACAAAACTGCTAGAAATTTACCAACAAACTCATGTTTATCCTTATTTTTAACTTTTCTGTTAATATTCCCAACATATTTTAGTAACTACTCATACCATATATTTATGGCAGCTGGTAATATGTTTTAACAGTGGCATGCTTAAGTCTACAGGGTAAAGTAAAATACTGAGCACAGATAATAAATTGTTAACTTGGTTAAACCATATGAAATTGCCAATATTTGACTATTTTTGACCTGTACTAATGGTGATTTTAAATCATTCAATCTAATAAGCCAAAAAACTACATTTAAGGGTGTAGAAGGGTCTGTTAGCATTCTGTCTAGAATCTTGCTATTTAATATGTGATTAGCTACCAGAAGCATCAACATCACTTGCTAGCTTGTTAGAAATGCAAAATCTTGAGTCTAACTTTAGACCTCATGTACCAGAATGTGCATTTTAACAGGCTCCCTAGGCAGTTCACTTTCACATTAAAATTTGAAGCAGAATTCTAGAAGAATGGATACAACTCCACAGAGAGTTATAGTTAACTATGAGGCAGATGTTAAAAAATACAAATGTAGTAGAACAGTAGTTTACAGAGATAGTTATGAGTTATTTCCCAGTATTTCAATAAATTTAAAATCTTACTTGAAGTTATGTATATTTCCAGGTACCTGCCTGAATTTCATGTCACCCTGGCCATTCAGAGAAAGGGAGGTGAGGAAGGATGGAGGAAGAGTAAAACCTCCCAAGTCCTTCACTTAGGTCTCTTGTACTCTGGTGACTCAACTTTCAGTGTCTCCTGCCTGCCATTCATCTCTTTTATTCATCACCAACCGCACCCAAGCCCTTGTCAGAGTCTGATGGCTGCTTCCCTCTCTGTCCCATCAAATCCTCTGGATGGCCAGGGTGTTTTATTTGAAATACACCAGTAGTTTTTTGCATAACTTTTATACAACAAAAGATTTGTCCTCTAGCTTTAATAAGTGGCTTTTTTTCCTACTCTAAGAAGCAGCATGTGAAGTAAGTGGGTACTTTGGGAGTTAGTCTTGGCTATGTCCTGCTGGACTTGGGCAAGTTATTTACATTTCCAAGACTGTAATCTATTAAATGTGGATAACATTGCCTTTTCATGGAGTTATTGTAAATTAAATGAGATATGTGAATGTACTAGGGACACTGGTGTCCAGTGTTAGTTTCCTTTTCTTCTGTGGTTTAAGTGAAGAGGGAAAGAATAGGGAGGAAGAGAAAGGAGGAGAGAGACTGTGACTGGATGAGCCACAGTCTGCTTTCCTATAGTAACTATATACAACTGTCTTGATCACCAGTGTATTTCTAATGGTTGACACAGTGTCTCTTCCTGAAAAGTGGTTGGCATTAATATTTGTTGAATGAATACATTAATTTTCTGAGGGCTGTCTGCTTGCTTTATGCACTGGAGGGTAGAGGAAAAGTTATATCACATTAACTTTTCAGCAGGTCAAAAATGTGGGTTGCTTAAATTGAATGCAGAATGTAGAGACAGTGGCTAAGGAGCAGACAAGCCAACCCCTGTGGTTGGTGGGAAAAACATACATGCAGTGACAAAGGACCCAGGTGAAACTAAATAGTGTCCCTGGAAGGTTATGCCAGGTGGCAACTTTAGCTCCCTAAACTTCCATTTACTGAATCCCTTGCATTTTAATTCCTAACCTCATCTTCCTTTTCAGCCAAAATAAATTTTCTCAAACTAGAGTTCTTGCGGCCAGAATTGATGTATAGTTGATGGAAGGGAAAAGAAAATCTATGTTTGGAATATAAAAATGCAGTGACCCTTGGGAGGCTTCTGAATCCATCCCTGTTTGTATGCTCAGATGGCATGACTTGCTGTCTCTTGTGGCTTACTTAGGAATGAGTAACACATGAATAATCAGCCCACTGTTCCAATGAGCTACTTGTACAGTACTCCAGGAACACCAGGCATTTCTTACAGCTTTTATTCTCTAAATCACATGATGATAAATGTTGTTGTTTTTTATCCTGAGATAACTATGAGGCCTGGGGCAGGATGATGATGATGACCTGTGCTAAGAGCATTCCTTCCTGTTTCAGTCTTCCAGCAACCACCAAGCGGGGATATAATGATGCTTTACACACATCTGATAAAAATTATGATAGTGTTTTGCTTCTTTCCTTGTAGATCAAAAGAAGACCTACAATTACTATAGCACATTGTCATTTACAACTGACAAACTATATGCTGAGTTTGGCAGAGAGGCTTCTAACAATTTTACAGAAATGAGCCAGAGACTTGAATCAATGGTAAGCAACTTGTCATCTACTTCTAGTGCATTTGCTTTCACTTTTTACCATATTTTTAGCATCCTAGCTTCTAAAAGATCCATTCAACTAACGGATCCCTGTGTATTTGCAAAATGAAAAGAGGCCCTAACCCAAGGAATATAAAACAAAATGGACAATACATCACTTAGCACAATATGACTCACAGGGTTGAACCAAAGAAACTTTAGCCATTCGGTCAGGTCCTTCTTACTCACCTTTCCTTAGCTAGTGATATACTCTTGATCAGTAGAGTCCAGAGATTCTGGAAATGTGAGTGTGGCTTAAAATATATTTGTTGTATCCTAGACTTCCTAAAAAAGAGACCCCGAGCAGAAGATTGCCAAGATTGAAACTATTTAGGCACATACCTAAATAGTCTGTTAGGTTTTAAAAATATCTAACCTTCAACCAGCTTTTGGTATATAAATCTGTAGTAAATCCACAGATATGCAACTCTACCCAGTTTTTAAAAATATTTAACCTTCAACTAGCTTTTGGTATGTAAATCCACAGATAAGCAACTCTACCCTTAACGCATCAACATTCATCTTGAGGGATCAATTAAATACTTAAGAAACTGGAAAAATTAGCAGCATGGGCCAAAAGAACAAGGGCCTAAGTGGTAACTTCTTGTCATTATCAGATTAATTAAAGAATAATTTAACTTTTCCTGGAAACCTGTGAGGTAATTCATGATATAATGTGATGGAAAGAACACTGAACTGGGAGCTGGGAGGCACATGTATCTCCAATGGTATCTACTAGGTAATGATACATCACTTGGAATATTAGTTTATCATTCTGCACAAAGTTCTGTAAATTGAAAATTAAGGTATTAGGTTAGATAATTTCCAAATTGTCTTCCAGTTCCAATAACCTGAATAAGAATGGAAGTGAGACCCTGGAAACCGCCCAGTAGACAGAAGCCTGGGGATTTGGCCACCTTGCTGAGACAGTGGTTGAATCCTGGTTACATTTGCACTTGCAAACACCAAATCAGGGAAATATTTGACCAGGCTCTTCTCTAAGGCTAAATACATATGCAAAATGAAGGAAATGAAATTGAATTAAAAAGGTCAAGAAGAGATGCCACTATTTCCCTTGTTCTTTGTGCCATTCATTCAAATAAATTTTATTTAAGTAAATAAAATCCAGACAGATTTAAATCTAAAGGAATATACATAAGGCTCTTTAATGCCTTCAAAATTAATAATAGTTTTGAAGTTACTTGACAAAAATTAACCCTTAAATAAAAATTTTCTTGTGAATACTGCCATCCTATTCAGAGGACTTCTGCTATTCAGCTTTGTCTCATAATCGCAAGAAGTGTCCTTAGTAAAAAAATTCGGAATTAATAAAATGTAAGAAAGAATTAAAAGGCTCATTGCTTCTGTTAATCACCAGCATGTAGTAAGTGTTTACTAAATATCCACATACTGGAAACAAGACACCTTTGAGTGTTTCCTTACATAAACTCCTAATTAAAAAATTAAGTTGCCTAGAATTCTTATTTAGAATAATAACTAACGTCTCTACAAAAATAGACTCTTTCACTTTAGTAGAGTAAAACTCATAGGTGTGTTAGGCTAAGTATCCCAGTTCACCTGGGCCTTTCTAAGAGCACTTGGAGTGCTGAACTTCGTGTACATTATGCCAGGAAAACTGACAACTTTGTCACTAGGTTTGGGAAGCATTTGACATGGTCATGCACTCATTTCTATAATCCAAGTATTATGTGGCAGAATTATTTCATTTCCTTTGTCTATGGGCAGTAAAAGTCCTTACTTCAGAGTAAAATTTCTCACTCTTAATTTTGAAGAAACAGCATGTTCATTTTCTTTGGTCTCTTTCTGAGCATTAGTACAGCAGATATCACTTCTGGCCCCACTGCGGTTCCCTACTCCTATCATTCCTAAGACAGCGTTCAGTTGAAATCACTGAGAAAACCACAATAGATTCCTCAAGCTTCCTCAGTTCCACTCACTGTGAAATGTCAATGTTTTTTGCTCTGTTTTGTTTTTTAATTTTCTAAAAAGCTTTGAATTAATTTGTGGAATTTCAGAAAGTTGTTCTTGCTGATATATTTTGAATATTTTTACAAACAGGTGAAAAATGCATTTTATAAATCTCCATTAAGGGAAGAATTTGTCAAGTCTCAGGTTATCAAGTTCAGGTATGTAAATCTGAATTGCTGACTTCTGAATTTAAAGTTGAAGCTGTTAATCTGCTCAGCAATAAATATGTTTTCAAGTGTTAAAGATATAATTCAATCCAACAAACATTTGACACTTGTCCTGTGTAAGTCATGGGTTACAAAGTCCCTTATTCATTCCTTAAATCCCAAAGTAAGCATTTGCAAGATGGTTGCTGGGGACAGAGGTATAATTGGTGCCTATGTTATAAAATTGTTTTCTGGGAAACTTACCAAGTACAGATAGTACTAAATACAGATAGACCTAACACACATCCTTGGTTTAATGGCAAGTAGTGCCCCATGTAAGACAATATAGTAGATCAGGTTTGTCTTTAGCTCTTCTTCCTCCTATTAATCAATCTTCTTTATCTTCTTCTATTCCATCCCTCCATTCTCAAAATATGTAGCTGAGAAAATCTCATCTGTCAACTAACTATTGATAAATGGGTTTAGTACATAATGTTAAGGAAAATATTATAAGAATTTTCAATAAGATATTGACATAATACAAATTATTTGTATTAAAAAACAGAATAAGAATTATTTCCAATATTATTCCAATGACAAAACTTTAAAAGTTTCCTGCCATTCTATTACTTAGCTGATATCTCTAAGGCATTACTTTGATCACTGTCTTCTAAAAATTCTGTACTCTCTGGTGTTTGAGATACTGCCCTTTCTTGGATCTGCAACTACTTCTCTTATCTTTAAGTTTCACTTTCTCAAAGGGACCTCATTCACCCACATGGTCTCATATGCTATTGAAATACAAGTTTCTATCTCTAGTCTGAACTATTTTTCTGATTTCTATAACTATATACACATCCCCATGTGGAAGTTCCACAGAAAATTCCCTAACTCAGGAAGAATCCAATCACATAAATGAGAAACCTGGAAGTCATCAAACACTCCTTCCTTTCCTGGTCCCCTCATACTTTATGAATAACTAAGTTCCACTAATTCTATTTTCCCAATAACTTTCCAATTTGCTCACCTCTTTATTCCAGTAATCTTGCTACTGCTACTCATTATTCTGTCTTCTGTTACTGCAATAGTGAGAAGAGCAAGTTTATTGGAAAGATGAAGTCAATTTTGGAGATGTTGAATTTACATTCTAAGGGACCATATGAACCTGAAAAATGAGGGTGACTCAGTAGAGGGAAATGGAACTGAGCAGAAGATAGAAATTTGCTCATGATCAACTCAAAAATTTGGAAGCATGGGTGTAAATTTCTCAGAAAAAGAATAATAAAAGGGAATGAAAAGGATGACAAAGAAAGCTTGAAGACCAATATTTAAGGTGATGGAAGGAATATAGGAAACTTAGATATAGGGAAAGAGCAGGAAAATAGAAAAATCATGACAGAATCACCACTGATGCAAAAGATAAGAAGTTTCAAAGAGAGTGTGGTCGGCATTGACAAATATTCCTGACTGAGTAATATAAATATTGAAAAGAATCCACTGGCTTTGTCAACTAGGATACTTGGGTTGTTACTTATTTTCGTGTCCTGAAAATAGTGTTACAATTAACATGTTTATAGGTATGTCCTTGCACAAATGTATGAGTGCATTTGAATGTTTAATTTCTAGAAGTGGAAATGCTGTGCCAGAGAAGACAGATATTCAAACTTATAATAGATAACACTGCCATCCAAAAATAAGACTCTAATTTGTATTCCCACTTCCAGTTTATGAGAGTAGTGGTTGATGCAATATATAGTGAAGAGTTAGATTCAGAAGTGACTATGAAAAGGAGTGGGTAAAGTAGCTGGCAGGATGATTCCAAGGTAGTAATTCATACAAATAGTATTAAGACTAATTAATGCTCTGTGTTGAAAATACAGTCACATGAAGTCAGTACAATTTGGTAAAGCGGTCTTATATCTTTAGGATTAGGAGTTGTTTAGGATAGCCTGAAGATTGTTTAGGGGAGGTAAGTAGACTTGAGTCACAAGAATAAAACCTGAAATTCAAAACCACAGTTGATTTCATATTTAAGACACACTGTATTTGATAATTTTGAATGGTTTTTGACAAGGTGTCTTTTTATATTAATAGCCATATACTTAACTAGACCTTTTGATGGTAAGGGAGACCATGAACAGACTAACTCACTATATGAGAGGCTGAATTTGTGGTTCTTCACATAGTAAACAGTAGCAATATAGAAGGAAACATTTATGGATGTATTTTATGTGTGCATTTCATGTAAGTGATAAAGAAAAAAGCAGATTGTGATATTACCCTTCTTTCTTTTCTTTTCTCTTTTCTTTTCTTTCTCTCTCTCTCCCTCTCTCTCCTTCCTCCCCTCCATTCCCTTCTCTTCACTTCCTTTTTCCTTTCCCTTCTCCTTCCTTCCTTTTCTCTTTTCTTTCTTTCCTCCCTCCCTCCTTTCTTCACTTCCTCCTTCCCTCCCTCCCTCCCTCCCTTCCTGCCTTTCTTTCTTCTTTTCTTTTCTTTCTTTCATTTTCTTCTTTTTTGGCCCACAGTCAACAGAAGCATGGAGTGTTGGCTCATATGCTGTTGATTTGTAGATTTCACTCTACTGAGGATCCTGAAACTGTAGATAAAATTGTTCAACTTGTTTTACATGAAAAGCTGCAAGATGCTGTAGGACCCCCTAAAGTAGATCCTCAGTCAGTTAAAATTAAAAGTAAGTTAATTTCTCTTATTTTTCTTTCATAGAACAGCTTCATGTTAGGTTTGATCTTGGCACTTATTAAAAAATTTTTTTTGATGTCCTTTAATTCTGGGGTCTTGCCACCAACAGTATATTTCTTTGGAACTAAATTTGTCCTAATGAAGTATTTTAATTTTTAAGACTACCCTAAACTTAGGCCTCCCATGCAAGCTTTTTATTAACTCCTTAGCAGTTTTCTTTATATTACACTTTATAGTTTGGCTATAGAATCCAATTATAAGTGAAGAAAATGGCTTTGTATTTTCTTCTTTTTCTTGTTGCTTTCATTGTATGTTCTGAGGGTGTGGTATATGGAAAGGTTCATGCCATTTACACATTTGTTTTCAAATGTCATTAATATACCTTGCTATACTTTCTTCCCTTAAACTTTTCACCAGTGAAACATTTATAATAAACTTATTTTTGGTATATTTACAACTATAAATGAAAAATTTAGGTAGATTTTTGTTGTTCTTGTTGTTATTGTTTGTAGGGCCACATGGGACAAAACAAGTGATGATAGGTCCTCACATTTAGAAAATAAGAAATATGAGATCCTCAGTGGAAATTAAGATCTGGCTAAGGGCTGGTTCATATGTTACAGAACAATGAAGGTCTATAGAAATACTATCTGGGCACAAGTATAATGTTACATTTTCTAGAAGTTACATTAAAAATAAAAATAAACATGTAAAATTAATTTTCAATAATTTGTATATTCAACCCAATATGTCCAAAGTATTATCATTTAAACAAATAGTCAATGTAAAAATTATTCATCAAATATTTCACTTTTTTTTGTAGTAAGGCTCTGGAATCTAGCGTACATTTTATACTGATAGTACATTTCAATTTAGACTAGCCACACTGCAAAAGCTCATTGGCCACAGGTGGCTAGTGGATACAGTAGTGGATATGGCAGCACTGGAAACTACAGAGTAGGGGACAAGTAGAGAGAATGAATACAAACTGCTAATATAATATCTGATAGATCTAAGTAGATGCCTAAATTGATGGCCAGCCAACCCACTTGCTTAGGAAGGAGGCTTCAGTAGTCAGGGACAGATACATAATTTATGCGCCTTAGCACAAAATGAAAATGCTAGACCTGTTTTCAAAAAGCAAGAAAAAAGTGCTGTTAAAAGTACAAAGATATAACACTTTTCTTTCTTCCCTGGTCTCGCTCTCGACTTTCCATGGTGTTTTCATTTGCTGATTATTGTCATTCTAAGAGAAAAAAATTAAATTTGTAGATTACTAATATGAGTTTAATTGTTTATATCATGCAATGTCGATATAAATGCATATATAAGTACATTTAACTTGTATTTCAAATCATGGAAATTATGCAACTATATTTCGTAGCTTATACATACATGTTTTTCATTTTTGCCTCAATGGAAATAGTACAAAAGGCTAATGACTCTTTTTATTTTCCTGGTTAATATGAGAAAATTCTACCAACACTCTCTACCTTCAGCTTATTGAGGGGTGAGGAAGGACTAGAAGGAAAAGGAGATCTGGATTTCCCTATCTTTCTCTTTCTACATTGTAGTTTTCAGCAAAAGTTGTTGGCTAATACACAGAAGTAACAGAAGCAAGAAAGGATATGGCAGGATCTGTTGTTCATTTGTGTTTATTAGAATGCTATTGTCTTTTCTATGGGTTCTAAGCAAGTTTTGGTTCAAACAGAAAACATGGCCTCCAAGGCATGTCAGTCCACCTCTGCTTACTTAATGGAAGGGATAGCACACTTACCTTGTACTTGCTTTGAGTCTTGCTGAACCCCTGTGGATTGTGGGTCCACTAGAATTCTGATTTCATAGGGAATTGTGAATGATATATGCAAATGGAGTGGAAAGAAACTATGGACACACTTATTGCACATATCTTGTCTGCCAACACTATAATCCATTATCCTATTGAACTTCATTTTCAAAACACAAGTTACAAGATAAAATTATTAAGAATGTCAAGTGAGCAATAGCAGAGCATTGTACCAAGCACAAGGCCATTGTGAGTGTGAGACCCAGTGCAGATGTATAAGTCACACATGAAGCCAGCCTTGTCAGTGCTATCAATACTCAGAGCTTGACATTTTCCTAGGAAGAGCTTGAGATAGAGAACAGGTTATTTGAAACAAAGAGATCAGAGGTGGTCCTTTTAATATTAACTGAGACTAAATTGTAAATTCTTCCTTATTTTTGCCATTTTCCCCACAAGTAGCCAGAATAAATAAAGTCAGAAAGAAGGCCTTCTAGAATATAGATTTCCACTTCATTCATACTATTAAATACTAAAGAAAAAAATTAACACTAATATTTTTGCATTTAGAGCATCCATCCTTCCATGTACAAAGAATAGTTTTGGTCATTAGAACTCTGCTGAGTCAGAAAGTTTGAGCTTAGAGTTTTATGTATCTATTAGCTGGGTTAGTGTTTGCATAGGGTTTGAGACTGACTAGTGAGAAGTCAGCAAGCTAAGAAGTCATTGGCTGGAGCTAAATGACAATTTGAGGGCAGACTGTCTTTTGAAATTTGACTTCAAAAAGGGTAACATTGTTTTTAACTGTGAGTGAGTACAAATTTATGGAGATGCTACTCAGGTGTGTTATACAAATGGGACTAGGCTTATGAGCTCAATGATACAATCTGAAATAATGGTTAATAAAGGTATTGTTACATTTGGGGAATTAATACTATGGTTTAGAGTAGTATTTCCCATGGAGGGGCTGTGGACTCTCTGCATCTTATTTACTGGTATAAAATCCAAATTCTTGGGCGTCATTACAAGCTACTGAATTAGAGTTACTGGGAAGGTGAACAGGAGTTTCATTATAAATATGCTTCCTATGTGACTCTTACCCACATTAAAGTTTAACACACCGTTCACATTCTCTGCAATGTGATGATCATCCTATGTCTATGACAAGCTATGTTGCCTTCTTTATAATCTAGAGATACTGTTTTATAATAAAATTAAGCAGCCTTTTAGTATTTGAAATACTCGGAGGCATAGTGTAACTCTGATGTGCTGACCCTATTTGCCATTTCTGTGTGTTTCAGAAATCAACAAGACAGAAACAGACAGCTATCTAAACCATTGTAAGTTTAATATATTTATTGAAATAGCATTACCTGAAGGTAAAAAGCTAACACTATAGGTCATTTAGGTTTACTTTGTGTTGATATCATAGGGACAGAACACATAAAGTTTGATTAATTTGTGTACAGTTCATGGTACTTTATCATATCTTGGAGATACATTTTATTAGTAAAGGATAGCAAAATTGAGATAACTTTGGAGTGGATGTATGGGTGCCTGTGGCAGATGTGTAGTGGAATTGAGTTGTACAGCTGTTAAAGAAGAGGCAAGAAATGTTTACTTATCAATGTTCTGTTTGTAGGTATCTATAAGATAAAACAAATCTATACATTGTGTTTTTCAGCTAGAGGCAGAAACTCATTGTCACTATATCCTAGATAAAATCTTCTTGATGTTATTAATCCTACGGATTAATACGAAAGTGCAGGAAATTATCGGGTCGTGGAAGAGTCACAGAAAGTGCAGGAAATTATGGGGTATATTTTAATAAAATTACTGAAGACACATAGATAATATCTTCACCTATATTATAAAAGTGCTGAGTCTAGGCCTAGCACTTTTCTTCTCCTATAGCCAAGTATGCCACCATGATTTACAGTATACATTCAATAGTTATGGGGTTGTTGCACATTACATTTCTCTTAAAAGGTGGAAAAATATGTGCTACTCACCAGCTCATATAGTTGGTTAATTTCTAAAATCAACTAAACACAAAACCAAAAGATAATCTCATTACCTAAATAGCATATATTCTCACCACCAATATTTATTGGGAACCTACCATGTGCTAGCACTGTGTTAGACAACAGGCATTCCAAATGGATAAGATATAATATCTCTACCTGAAGCACCTTATACTTTAATGGGACTAGGTGCATGAGACTAATTCATGAACACATCATTCTTAAACAACACTTCTCAACCAAGGGAAATATTGTTGGCCAAGCTATCATGCCCCACTGTGGCATTTTTGTCATGAATATAGGGGGAGGGCTACTGGCATCTACAGTGGATCTACAGTATATAGGCCAAGATCTTATGATGCACAGGGCAGCCCCCTACAACAAAGAATTAAATGGTTCAATATGTTAGTGGTGCTAAGGTTGAGGAACCCTGTCATAAACAATGTCAGTATGTATACATACACATAAGCACACATACAGAGTGTGTTTGTTATACACATAAGCACACACACAGAGTGTATTTGTTACTATTATTATTTTGGAAGCACCAAGAAAGTAATAACTAATCCAGATTGGAGACAGGGGAGTTAGAGAAAGCATCCTAGAGAGGTAACAACTGATTTAGATTTTACAAAATGAACAGGAGTTAGCTAAATAAAACATTACAGTTTACAGAAAGGTAAGAGCATGAGAAAACATTTGATACTTTTGGAGCACAAAGTAGAAGAAATATGGGACATAGTAACACAATTTGATGTGCAAAACAACTGCTAATTAATGCACCCACCAATGCACCCCCCCTCTCTCTTTTGCAGGCTGCGGAACACGAAGAAGTAAAACTCTAGGTCAGAGTCTCAGGATCGTTGGTGGGACAGAAGTAGAAGAGGGTGAATGGCCCTGGCAGGCTAGCCTGCAGTGGGATGGGAGTCATCGCTGTGGAGCAACCTTAATTAATGCCACATGGCTTGTGAGTGCTGCTCACTGTTTTACAACGTAAGTCTTGAACCTTGAGAATGATTGGGAGTGAACAAAGTGCACTGGGTTTTGGCAAGAAAATACCTCATGAATTTTGGGAGATATGAGTTTAGCATAAATTAAAAATAATGTGTATATCACAAAAGACTGGATCATTTGTAAACATTAGTAAGAGGTTTTAAAGTCTGGAAATGGAAATGGAGTCAAAGTATATGTAAATAAATAATCTTTTGATAAACACACAATAGTTTCTCAAAGAAAGCAGGAATTTTAAAGTCATTTTTGGATTTGAATTTGCTGTCAAACAGGAGTGCTCTATCTCTGCTGAGTACCTTAATCAGAGATGGAGTCTGGATAGGTTGTAGGTTTGATCCTAAGGGGGAAATTTCACATGGTAAGAAAAAGAATTAAATACGAAGAATTATGTAATGAAGATATGAAGAATTTGGAAGTAGCAAGTTGTATAAATGAATAGATTGACTAATTATATTGCAAGAAATGGAGGACCCTTCAATCTATTGTCAAAATGTCTATAGTATATAAAATAATAATACTTTGTTAAATTATTGTGTGGACTTTTTGGTTTTCAGAGAAATGTGTATATTTCTGGGTGGGGTACATGAGACACATAGAATATATTAATTTCTCTTATTCTGTACAGGGTACTTTCCATAGGTCCCTTGGAGTCATTAATATACAGAAAAATCAAAAAGCCTTAGCATTTGGAGTGGATGACTTGGCATATGGAGTGGCATGTATATTATAGGAAATGGTGGCTTTTTCACCTGGTCAGAACCCTGAGCCTTATTATCAAATTGGAAAGAGTTCTATACATCAAAACTATAAAAAGAAAAAAAAATCTACACCTGTAGACTAAATTATTTAATATAAATTATTCGACTGGTAGCATGGTAAAAAGAAATTTATTCTTCATTTTTTTCTCCCCAGATATAAGAACCCTGCCAGATGGACTGCTTCCTTTGGAGTAACAATAAAACCTTCGAAAATGAAACGGGGTCTCCGGAGAATAATTGTCCATGAAAAATACAAACACCCATCACATGACTATGATATTTCTCTTGCAGAGCTTTCTAGCCCTGTTCCCTACACAAATGCAGTACATAGAGTTTGTCTCCCTGATGCATCCTATGAGTTTCAACCAGGTGATGTGATGTTTGTGACAGGATTTGGAGCACTGAAAAATGATGGTGAGCGTCGGAAGAGGAACTCAAGTAAAAGTTAAATTGGTATTTTATGGCATTTAAGCAATGAAATGCCATTATGCCAAAATATGTTAGTTGTGTGGTCATATGACCTGGACCAAGTCAGGCCCTAAAAGTGAAGTAAATAACTTGGAAGGCACAAAAATTCCTTCCTGCCTAAGTTAATATCGAGTAAATTGCTACTACTATATACTACAGTCATAGTACTGCTAAGATGTCTGAAAAAGCAAATATGTCTCCTAGCCATGAACTTTCTTTAGAGAATTAACCAGTTTAGAGATTAGCAATCAATAATATACCCAATTCTGAAGATTGGAGAATCATAAAGCCACCATTCTCCCCTACTGAAATTTCCTTGTAATGTTAACAATGGAGTGGACATTATTTAGATAACTTGTGGTTCTTTCCTAGGCACCCAACTTTTTGCTCAAAGTAGTTAGGAACAAATTATCTTCCCAAATATTATTGTTCTAAACATATGTAGTCTAAGATTCTGTATCACTATCTTTTTTTTTTTTTTTTTTTTTGAGACAGAGTCTCCTTGTTGAGACAGAGTCTCCAGGCTGAAGTGCAATGGTGCGATCTTGGCTCACTGCAACCTCTACCTCACAGGTTCAAGCGATTCTCCTGCCTCAGCCTCCCCAGTGATTGGGACTACAGGTGCCCGCCTAATTTTTCCATTTTTAGTAGAGACAGGGTTTCACCATGTTGGCCAGGCTGGTCTCAAACTCTTGACCTCAGGTGATCTGCCCTTCTCGGCCTCCGAAAGTGCTGGGATTACAGGTGTAAGCCACCGCACCCGGTATCCCCCGCTTTTTTTTTTTTTTTTTTTTTTTTAAGATGGGGCTTCTTTCTGTCCCCCAGGCTGGAGTTCAGTGGCCCGATCTTGGCTCACTGCAACCTCTGCCTCCCGGGTTCAAGAGATTTACCTGCATCAGCCTCCTGAATAGCTGGGATTACAGGTGCATGCCACCACCCCCGGCTAATTTTTGTATTTTTAGTAGAGACAGGATTTCACCATGTTGGCCAAGCTGGTCTTGAACTCCTGGCCTCAAGCGATCCTCCAATCTCGGCCTCTCAAAGTGCTGGGATTACTGGCGTTAGTCACCGTGCCTGGCCTGTATCACCATCTTATTCCTAATCATGAAACATTTTCTTCAAGTTTATAAAATATATGTATGTCTACAAATACAAAGACTTTTTTTTCTTTTAGGTTACAGTCAAAATCATCTTCGACAAGCACAGGTGACTCTCATAGACGCTACAACTTGCAATGAACCTCAAGCTTACAATGACGCCATAACTCCTAGAATGTTATGTGCTGGCTCCTTAGAAGGAAAAACAGATGCATGCCAGGTAAACAGTTTTGCCCATTAGTATGTTGTGTAATTTTTTGTTTACTTTTCTTTGAAATAATTATATATCTACAGGAAGTTGCAAAGATAGTACAGAGGAGTCACAACATCTCACCCAGTTTTCTCCAATGATTACATCTCACATAACTATAGTTCAATATAAGATCTGGGAAATTGACAGTCGTACAAAGTATGTGTCTAATTCTATGGCATTTTGTCACATCTGTAGATTTGTGTAACCACCACTACAGTTAAGATGAAGAACTATTCTATCACCACAAAGACCTACCTTTTTCCCTCCTCCTACTATCCCTAACATCTGGCAATCACTAATTTATTCTCCATCTCTATAATTTTTCAATTTTCAGAATGTTATATAAATAGAGTAACAGTAGCTTTTTAAACAGAATTTAATTTTGGATCATCTATTGGTATTTTTGGCTTTTTTTTGTAGAAAAATTTTAGTGGTTCCTTTAAGTTATATATATGTGTATATAAATATATATTTATTTATATATACATACATAACATCACTGTCTATGTGTATTGAAATTTTACTAGTTTTGGTGGAGTATAGAATAAAAAACTTACTTCCCCTTAAATCCCTTTGCTTTTCCCTCTTTAATATTAAACATTAACAAATATAAACATTAAATATTAATAAATATAAATATTAAATATTTGCTTTATATTTTGAGAACCACAGAAGACAATGTTTTGCTTCAACAGTCAAATGTAATTTAGAAAACATAAGAGGAAAAGGAAAGACTATTTACCTATGGATTTCTTCTTTCCTCTTTCCTGATTCCTTTTTTAAAAACAGTCATTTCTGTTTTAGGAACTTCTTTTAGCCACTCTTTTAGTATAGGTATGCTGGTGAAAAATTCTCCTAGATTTTCTTTGTCTCTAACAGTCTTTATTTCTTCTTCATTACTGGAGCATAATTTAGCACTGACAGTTCTTTTCTTTCAGCATTTAAATCATTGCCTCTGTGATTTCTGCAAGGAATTTGCTGCTATTAGAATTATTTTTTTCCAATAGATGAGGTGTCATTTCTTGCTGTGTTCAAGAGTTTGTCTTTAGTTTTCAGAAGTTTGATTATGTATCTTGGCATGGATTTCTTTGGGCTTATCCTGTTTGAGGTTTGCTCAGCTTTTTGAATATGTAGATTTATATCCTTTGTCAAGTTTGAGAAATTTTCGGTCATTATTTCTTAAAATACTCTTTCAGTCCCACCTTCTTTCTTCTTTCCTTCTGGAACTCTAACCACAGCAATGTTTACTCTTTTATTATAGTCCCAGAGTTTCCTAAGCTTTTGTTTATTTTTTTTGCACTCTAGTTTCTCTCTGTTTTTGAGATTGGGTAATTTCAATGTATCTTCAAGTTTACTGATTCTTTGCTCTGTCTTCTCTATTCTTATGTTAAGCCCATCCAGTGAGTTTTGAATTTTGCTTATCATATTTTTTAGTTCCAGGGTTTTTCTTTGTTTCTTCTTTTTATATTTACTATTTCTTTGTTGACACTTCCTATTTCTTTTCCTTTGTTTTAAACATGATGGTAATTGCTCATTGAGATGTATTTATGATGGCTGCTTTAAAATCTTTGTCAAATAATTTCAACATTTGTGTTATCTCAGTGTTGGTATCTGTTGATTGCCTTTTCTCATTCAAGTAAAAACTTTTATATTTCATTGTATGATGACTGATATTCAGATATATGCTGAGCATCTAATTATTATTTATTCTGTTTTGTTGTTGTTGTTATATCATGCTTTTAAATTTATATTATTTTATTTAATTAATTACTTTGCTTCTTCCAACTTTTATTTTAGGTTCAGAGGTTACATCTGCAGGATTGTTACATGGGTAAATTGTGTGTTGCTGGGGTTTGGTGTACAAATTATTTCATCATGCAGGTAGTAAGCATAATAACCAATAGGTAGTTTTTGGTTCTCATCCTCCTCCCACCCTCAACCCTCAAGTAAGCCCCAGTATGTATTGTTCCTCTCTTTGTGTCCATATGTACTCAATGTTTAGCTTCCACTCATAAGTGAGAACATGAGGTATTTGGTTTTCTGTTCCTGCATTCATTTGCTTAGTATAATGGCCTGTGGCTGCATCCATATTGCTGCAAAAACCATGGTTTCATTTTGCTTTCTGGCTCCATAGCATTCCATGGGGTATATTTACCACATTTTCTGTATCCAGTCCACTGTTGATGGACATTTTAGGTTGATTCCATGACTATTGTGACAATTGCTGCCATGAACATATGCATACATGTGTCTTTATGGCAGAACAATTTGTATTCCTTTGTGTATAATATACCCAGTAATGGGATTGCTGGGTCAAATTGTAGTTCTGTCTTAATTTCTTTGAGAAATCTCCAAGCTGCTTCCCACAGTGGCTGACCTAATTTACATTCCCACGAGCAGTGTATAAGCATTCCCTTTTCTCCACAACCTCAACAACATCTGTTGTTTTTTTGACTTTTTAGTAATAGCCATTCTGACTGGTTTGAGATGGTATCTTATTGTGGTTTTTAATTTCCCATTTCCCTGATTAGTGATGTTGAGCATTTGTCCATATGTTTGTTGGCTGCTTGTGTGTCTTCATTTGAGAAGTGTCTGTTCCTGTCTGTATTAGGCTGTTCTTACACTGCTATAAAAAAATACCTGGGTCGGGCATGGTGGCTCATGCAGGTAATCTCAGCACTTTGGGAGGCCAAGGGAGGTGGATCACTAGAGCTCAGAAGTTCAAGACCAGCTTGGGCAACATGGGGAAATCCTGTCTCTGCTAGAAATACAAACATTAGCCAATGTGGTGGTGTGTGCCTGTAGTCCCAGCTACTTGGAAATTATGAGGCAGGAGGATTGCTTGAACCCAAGAGGTCGAGGCTGCACTGCACCCACTGCACTCCAGCTTGGGTGACAGAGCAAAACCCTGTCTCCAAAAACAAACAAACAAACTAACAAAACCAAGTAAACAAAAAGCCAATATTAGGTAATGTATAAAGAGAAAAGGTTTAATTGGCTTATGATTCTGCAGGCTTTATGGGCAGCATGGTGCTGGCATCTGCTCGGTTTCTAGGGAGGAAGCTTACAATCATGGCAGAAGGTGAAGTGTGAAATGGGAGGGAGCAGGTACATCACATGGTGAAAGCAGGAGCAAGAGGGATAGAGTGGTAGGAGAGGTGCCATACACTTTTAAACAATCCGATCTCACAAGAGCTCACTCACTATTGCAAAGATAACTCCAAGCCGTGAGTGATTGGCTCCCATGACCTGAACACCTCGCACCAGGTCCTACCTTCAGCATTGGGGGTGACAAAGCAACATGAGATTTGGGCAGGGATAAATATCCAAATTATATCATTCTGCTCCTGGCCTCTCCCAAATCTCATGTCTTCTCACATTGCAAAATATAATTATGCCTTCCTAACAGTCCCCGAAAGTCTTAACTCATTCCGACTTTAACTCAAAAATTCAAAGTTGGCCAGATGCAGTGGCTCACACCTATAATCCCAGCATTTTGGAAGGCCAAGGTGGGTGGATTTCTTGAGCCCAGGAGTTTGAGACCAGCCTGGGTAATGTGGCAAAACTGCATCTCCACAAAAAAAAATTAGCTGGGCTTTGTGGCATATGCCTATAGTTCCAGCTGTTTGGGAGGCTGAGGTGGGAAGATTGATTGATCGTGGGAGGTTTAGGCTGCATTGAGCTGTGATCGCACCACTGCAGTCCAGCTTGGGTGACACAGAAAGACTTCATTTTGGGGAAAAAAAAAAAGTCTGAAGTCCAAAGTCTCATCTGAGATAAAGCAATTCCCTTCCACCTCATCAATCTGGATTTCACTGTCGATGTAACTATCAGCATTTTGGTCACAACCATTTAACCAGTTTCTAAGAAATTTCAGACTTGATCATATCTGTCTTCTGAGCCTTCAAAGTTCTTCCATCCTTTACCTGTTACCCAGTTGCCAAGTCGCTTTCACATTTTCCAATATCTTTATAGCAATGCCACACTCATAGTTACCAATTTTCTGTGTTAGGCTGTTCTTGCATTGCTATTAAGAAATATCTGAGGCCGGGTAATTTATTAGAAAAGATGTTTAATTGGCTCATGGCTTTTCAGACTTTATAGTAAGCCTGATGCTGGCATTAACTTGGCTCCTAGGGAGGCATCAGGAAGCTTATAATCATGGTGGGAGGTGAAAGGGGAGCAGGAACATCATGTGGTGAAAGCAGGAGCGAGAGAGAGAGAGTGGGAGGAGGTGCCACACACTTTTAAACAACCAGATATCGTGACAGTTCACTCGCTATCGCAAAGACAGCACTATGCTGTCAGGGATCCGTTACCCAAACAACTCCCACCAGCCTCACCTCCAGCAATGGAGATTAAACTTCAACATGAGATTTGAGAGGGGACAAATATTCAAACTGTATCTATGTTTTTTTTCCCCATTTTAAAAGGGAGTTGTTTGTTTTTTGCTTGTTGATTTGTTTAAGATTTCTTAAAGATTCTGGATATTAGACCTTTGTCAGATGCATAGTTTGCAAATATTTTTTCCTATTCTGTAGGTCGTCTGTTTACTCTGTTAATAGTTTATTTTGCTGTGCAGAAGCTCTTTAGTTTAATTAGATCCCAGTTGTCAATTTTTGTTTTAGTTGCAATTGCTTTTAGAGTCTTTGTTATAAAAGCTTTGTTAAGGCTGATGTCCAGAATGGTAGTTCCTAGGTTTTCTTCTAGAGTTTTTATAGTTTTAGGTTTTACACTTAAGTATTTCAACCATCTCAAGTTGATTTTTGTATATGGTGAAAGAAAGGGGTTCAGTTTTAATTTTTTGCATATGGCTAGCCAGTTATCCCCAGCACCATTTATTGATTAGGGAGTCCTTTCCCCATTTCTTGTTATGGTCAGCTTTGTCAAAGATGAGATGGTTGTAGACATGCAGCTTTACTTCTGGCTTCTCTATTTGGTTCCATTGATCTATGTGTCTATTTTTTTTGTACTAGCACCGTGATCTTCTGGTTACTATAGCTTTGTGGTATAGTTTGAAGTCTGGTAGTGTGATGCCACCAGCTTTGTTTTTTTGTTTAGGATTGCTTTGGCTATTAAGGCTCTTTTTTGGTTCCATATAAATATTACAACAGTTTTTACTAATTCTGTGAAAAATGACATTGGTAGTTTTATAGGAATAACATTTAATCTGTAAATTTCTTTGAGCAGTATGGCCATTTTAACAATACTGATTCTTTCTATTCATGAACACAAACTGTTTTACCATTTGTTTGTGTCAACTATGGTTTCTTTCTTTTTTTTCTTGAGACAAGGTCTTACCCTGTTGATCAGGCTGGAGTGCAGTGCCACAACTATAGTTCACTGCAGCCTTGAACTCCTGGGCTCAAGCGATCCTCCCACTTCAGTCTCCTGAGTAGCGGGGACTATAGGCATTCACCACCACACATGGCTAATTTTTTAGGTTTTTGGTAGAGATGGAGTCTTGCCATGTTGCTCATGCTGGTCTTGAACTCCTGAGCTCAAGCAATCCTCCTGCCTCTGCCTCCTAAACTGCTGGGATTACGGGCATCAGCCACTGTACCTGGCCTTCAACTATGATTTCTTTCAGCAGTGTTTTTAATTCTCATTGTAGAGGTCCTTCACCTTCCTAGTTAGCCATATGTCTATGTATTTTATTCTTCTTGTGGCAATTGTGAATGAGATTGCACTCTTGATTTGGCTCTCGGCTAAGATGTTATTGTTGTATAGAAGTGCTCCTCATTTTAGTACATTGATTTTGTATTCAGAAACTTTACTGAAGTTGTTTATCAGTTCTAGGAGCCTTTGGGCAGAGACTGTGGAGTTTTCTGGGTGTAGAATCATATCATTTGTGAAGAGAGATAGTTTGACTTCCTCTCTTCTATTTGGATGCCTTTTATGTCTTTCTCTTGCCTAATTGCTTTGGTCAAAACTTCCAGTACTATGTTGAATAACAGTGGTGAGACTGCACATCCTTGTCTTTTCTGGTTCACAGGGGAATGCTTCTAGCTTTTGCCCATTCATTATGATGTTGGTTATGGGGTTGTCATAGAAGGCTTTTATTATTTTGAAGTATGTTCCTCTGATGCCTAGTTAGTTCAAGGTTTTTTTCTTTTTTTTCTTTTTGAGACAGAGTCTCGCTTTGTCACCCAGGCTGGAGTGCAGTGGTGCGATCTCAGCTCACTGCAACCTCTGTCCCCCAGGTTCTAGTGATTCTCCTGCCTTAGCCTCCTGAGTAGCTGGGATTACAGGTGCCAACCACCATGCCTGGCTAATTTTTGTATTTTTAGTAGAGATGGGGTTTCGCCATGTTGGTCAGGCTGGTCTTGAACACTTGACCTCAGGTGATCCACACATCTCGGCCTCCCAAAGTGCTGGGATTACAGGCAGGAGCCACCGTGCCCAGACATATTTATTTATTTTCATATGTTGAACCAGCCTTGCATCCTAGAAAATAAGACTACATTACTGTGGTGGATAAGCTTTTTGATGTGCTGCTGGATTTGGTTTGCAAGTATTTTGTTGAGGATTTTTGCATCAATGTTCATCAAGGATATTGTCCTGAAGTTTTCTCTTTTTGTTGTGTCTCTTCCAGGTTTTGGTATCAGAAAAACACTGCCTTCATAAAATGTGTTAGGGAGGCTTCTCTTTTTCTAGAATTTTGGGAGTATTTTCAATATAATTGGTACCAGCTCTTCTTTATATATCTGGTAGAATTTGGCTGTGAATCTCTCTGTTCCAGGGCCTTCCCTGTTGGCTGTTTTTTTAAAATTACTGGTTCAATTTTGGAACTCATTATTTATCTTCTCAGGTATTCAATTTCTTCCTGGTTCAATATTGGGAGTTTGTGTTTCCAAGAATTTATCCATTCCTTCTAGATTTTCTAGTTTGTGTGCATAGAGGTGTTTACAATCATCTTTGAAATTTTTTGTAAAAAATATTTCTCTTCCCTTTGGCATTTCTGATGGTGCTTATTTGAAAGTTCTTTCTTTTTTTTCTTTGTTAGTCTTGCTAGCAGTGTATCAATCTTATCTATTCTTTCAAAGAACAAGTTGTTTGGTTTCATTGATCTTTTATATGGATTTTTGTGTCTCTATTTCATTCAGTTCAGCTCTAATTTTGGTTATTTTTGTCTTGTGCTAGTTTAGGGGTTCACTTACTCTTGTTTTTCTAGTTCCTCGAGGTGTGATGCTACATTGTTAATTTAAGATATTTATATCTTTTCGATGTTGGCATTTTGCCCCATAAACTTTCCTGTTAATACTGCTTTACCTGTGTCCCAGAAATTCCGGCATGTTGTATCTTTATTTTCATTAATTTCGAAGAATTTCTTGCTTTCTGTCTTAATTTCATTCTTTACTCAAAAGACATTCAGGAGCAGGCTGTTTAATTTCCATGTAATTGTATAATTTTGAGAGATCTTGGTATTGATTTCTATTTTTATTGCACTGTGGTCTGAGAGTGTGATTGGTATGATTTTTAAAAATTTGTTTAGAATTGCTTTATGGCCAAGTGCATGGTTGATCTTAGAGTATGTGCCATACATATGCAGATGAAAAGAACGTATATTTTCTTGTTGTTAGGTGGAGTGTTCTATAGATATCTCTTAGGTTCATTTGGTCAAGTGTTGAGTTTAGGTTCGGAATATCTTTGTTAGTTTTCTGCCTTTATAACACCTTTAGAGGGGTGTTGAAATCTCCACTATAATTTTGTATTTATCTAAGTCTTTTTTGTAGGCTCTAAGAACTTATTTTCTGAGTCTGGATGCTCCAGTGTTGGATGCATATACATTTAGATAGTTAATCTTCTTGTTGAATTGAACACTTTATCACTTTGTTACACCATTTTTTGTCCTTTTTAATTATTGTTTTAAAGTCTGTTTTGTCTGAAATAAGAGTAGCAACCCCTGTTCTTTTTTGTTTTTTATTTGCTTGGTAGATCTTTCCTTATGCCTTTACTTTGAGACTATGAGTGTCATTGCATTTGAGATGGGTCTCCTGATGATAGCATACAGTTGGGTCTTGCTTCTTTATCCAATGGGCTACTCTGTCCCTTGTAAGTGGGGCATTAAGCCTGTTTATATTCAAGTTATAATATTGATATGTGAAGATTTGATCCTGCCATCATGTTGCTAGCTGGTTATTCCACAGGCTTGATTGTATAGTTGCATATAGTGTCAGTGGACTATGTAATTGTCTTTTCTGTGGTGTCAGGAATTTTTTTTTTTTTTTGAGACCGCGTTTTGCTCTTGTTGCTCAGGCTGGAGTGCAAAGGCGCGATCTGAGCTCACTACATACTCTACCTCCTGGGTTCAAGCGATTCTTCTGCCTTAGCCTCCTGAGTACCTGGGATTACAAATGCATGCCATTACACCTGGCTAATTTTGTATTTTTAGTAGAGATGGGATTTCGCTATGTTGGCCAGGCTGGTCTTGAACTCCTGGCCTCAGGTGATCTGCCCACCTCGGCCTTCCAAAGTGCTGGGATTACAGGCGTGAGAAACCATGCCTAGCCAGGTAATGGTCTTTTGTTGCCATGTTTAGCA
Organism: Homo sapiens; assembly: GCF_000001405.40. Lineage (NCBI taxonomy): Eukaryota > Metazoa > Chordata > Mammalia > Primates > Hominidae > Homo > Homo sapiens. The sequence continues at coordinate 181,261 of NT_167250.2, forward strand.
CTCTCTTAAGGACTTTTTGCAAGGCAAGTCTGGTGGTAATAAATTCCCTTAACATTTGCTTGTCTGAAAAAGATTCCGTTTCTCCTTCGCTTATGAAGCTTAGTTTGGCTGGATATGAAATTCTTGATTGGAATTTTTTTCTTTAAGAATGCTGAATATACCAGCCTGGCCAACATGGTGAAACCCCATCTCTACTAAAAATACAAAAATTAGCCAGGCATGCTAATGGGCGCCTGTAATCCCAGCTATTCGGGAGGCTGAGGCAGGAGAATTGCTTTCACCTGAGAGGCAGAGGTTACAGTGAGCTGAGATCATATCATTGCGCTCCAGCCTGGGTGACAAGGGTGAGACTCTGTCTCAAAAAAAAAAAAAAAAAAAAAAAAAGAATGCTGGCTGAGTATAGGTCCCCAATCTCTTTTGGCTTATAAGGTTTCTGCTGAAGGTTCTGCTGTTATCCTGATATCACCCCCTTTGTATGTGACCTGTCCCTTCGCTCTACTGCTTTTAAGATTTTTTCTTTCATGTTGACCTTGGAGAATCTGACGACAAGGCGTCTAGAGGATGGGTGTCTTGTATATTATATCTCTGGGGTTCTCTGAATTTCTTGAATTTGTATGTTGACCTCTGCAGCAAGATTGGGGAAATTTTCAGGAACGATATTCATAAATGAGTTTTCCAAGTTGCTTGCTCTCTCTCTTTCCTTGGGGATGCCAGTGAATTGTAGATTTGGTATATTTATATAATTCCATATTTCTTGGAGATTTTGTTCATTAAAGAATATCTTTTTCTTTATCTGACTGAGTTGATTTGAAGAACTGGCCTTCAAGTTCTAAAATTGTTTTCAGTTTGATCTGTTCTGCTGTTAATACTGCCCATTGTATTATGAAATTCTTGTAGTGAGTTTTTCAGCTCTAGGAGATCAGTTTCTCTTCTTTTCTTTCCTTTTTTCTTTTCTCTCTTCTCTTCTCTTCTTTTCTCTCAGAGTCTCACTCGGTTGCCCAGGCTGGAGTGCAGTGGCAAGATATCGGCTCACTGCAAGCTCCGCCTCCCGGGTTAATGCCATTCTCCTGCCTCAGCCTCCTGAGTAGCTGGGATTACAGGGGCCCGCCACCATGCCCCCCGGCTAATTTTTTTGTATTTTTAATAGAGACGGGGTTTCACCGTGTTAGCCAGGATGGTTTCGATCTCCTGACCTCGTGATCTACCCACCTTCGGCCTCCCAAAGTGCTGGGATTACAGGCGTGAGCCACCGCGCCCGACCCTGATTCTTTCTTAAAATGGCAATTTCATCTTTCAGCTCTTGTGTTATTTTATTGATGCCATAAGTTCCTTAGACTGTGTTTCAACTTTCCCCTGAATCTTGATGATCTTCATTGACATCTGTATTCTGAATTCCATGTCTGTCATTTCAGTCTGGTTATGAACCATTGCTGGGGAGCTAGTTCAGTCATTTGGAGGTAAGAAGACACTCTTGCTTTTAGAGTTACCAGAGTTCTTGCATTGGTTCTTTCTCATCTGTGTGTGTGAAGTTGTTGTCCTTTGTATGGAGCTTTTTACTTTTATATTCTTTGATGCCTTTTGTGGTTTGATTGTGGTATTAGTTGTGCTTAGTTAATTTCATTCGTTTTTGGATGATTTCAGGGGTCCAAGGGTTAGCTCAGCACTCCTGGGCTGCATGCTGTACCAGGCTGTAACCTTGGGAAATTGGGACCAGGTCTGAGGCGGTTTTCTCTAGCCCCTAGAGGTTAAGTACCTCCTGGGTTGGAAGGAATGAGGTGTTCCTGGTCCACTGGCAACAAAACTGTGCTGGCAAAGGCACTTTGGCGGGGTGGCAGTGGGTCAGTGAGGGTCCTTGTGCTCACATACGTGCTGGTGGTGGGGTAGTGGCAAGTCCTGCACAGGCATGCGTGCTGGTGGTGGGGCAGTGATGGGGTCAGTGTGCATGCATACACCAGTGAGTCAGTGGCTGGAGGCTGCAGGCAAAGGCATGACAGCAAAGCAGCAGGTAGAGGCTGCCAGTGAGTGCATGCTGGTGGGCGCTCACTGACAGGGACCTGCCTTCAGGAGCTCTCCAGCTGTTAGGCAGGGTCTGCCATCAAAATAGCAATGGCTGTGGCTGTCAAAAAATGCCTTGGCTGGGCAGCTGAGGCAGTGCTGCAAGTTTGTGTAGCCAGGCAGGGAATTTGGCATAGGCCAGCAGACAAGCGAGTGCTTGGATCAGATTGTTCCCATCCCACAAGCAAGAGAGCCCTGTGATGTCCAGGTCTGTCCATCAACAAAGGCGAAAGCCACCTAGAGATGTATGATATTTGGGGGATGGGCACCCATGCCATGCTCTGCTGTAGCCATTCTCATGCCAAACCCTGTGGACTCTGTGCAGGCTAGAATTCTGTCTCTTTCAACTCTCCAGGCTGTTCTCCCTGCCACCTTAACTGTCCATGGGGGATGAGGGGTCTCCTGCAGCTAAGATTCTGGAGGTCTGTGGTGTGAGTTGGCCACTCCATGACCATTTAACTTACTCCTTCCCCAGGAGCCTCTCCAGGCCAGGAACAAGTTCTGGTGCTTGGCAACCCTGTGCAGGGTTACCAGCTTCCTTCCCTTTCAGCCTGGGGTCTGCATTCTCCTTCCATCAACTCTCAATGCCTTCTTTCTGAAAATTTGTTCAGAGTGTGCCAGTCTTCTTGATGGTCTGGTCCCTCACTGGGAGAAGGTCTTCTTGTCTGCGTCTGGTCGGCCATTTTGTTTTAGTATTTATTAAATAATGAAATAATAATAATTTGAAAAAATTAAATTATTATTATTTAAAACTCTAGATCTTATTTAAATTTTCTATTTAACCATGCCTCAGCAGACATTGTGATGCAGAGGGAGGGGGATGTATGAAGGAATTGCCTCATTTCCCACTCAGCTTCCTTTGATGCTCAGGTGAGGGACTAATGCTCATTACTACTGCATGGAGGTTAGGCCTCTTCTGATAACACTCTGGCTGAAGGTACTTTGTTACTGCTCCCCTTTTGGCCTCCACTGACATCATGGGGTAGTGATTTCATTACTGCTTCGCAGTGGTGAAAGACTTGACTTCCCACTACCTCTCCTCAGACATGGTTCTAGTAGATGGGGAGAGTTATTCCTCATTACTGGGTGGTAGTTCATGCTTCCCACTCAGCATATTCTTTTTTTTTTTTTTTTTTTTTTTTTTTTGAGGTGGAGTCTCGCTTGTTGCCCAGGCTGGAGTGCAGTGGTGCCATCTTGGCTCACTGCAACCTCTGCCTCCTAGGTTCCAGCAATTCTCCTGCCTCAGCCTCCTGAGTAGCTGAGATTAAAGGCATGTGCCACGACACCTGACTAATTTTTGTATTTTTAGTAGAGACGGCGTTTTGCCATGTTTGCTAGGCTGGTCTGAAACTCCTGATTTCAGGTCATCCACCTGCTTCAGCCTTCCAACGTGCTGGGATTACGAGTGTGAGCCACTGCACCTGGTGCCTATTCAGCATATTCTGACACCAATCTAGTAGGGAATTGGGCCTTCTTACAGCCTGGTAAGCATGGAAGTCTTTTCAGTTGGGATTTATTGTCTTCCTGGATTTGCTGTTTTCCCAAGTTGTCCTCTTATTGATTATTTTACTAGGGAGAGCAGGATTTTCTTGGAGCCTTTTAAAAAACTTGCACTTGTTGGCAGGTTGCCAGGTTGCTGGCTTCTTCCAAGTCCATGATATATGAAGCAAAAAAAAAAAAAAAAAAAAAAAAAAAATTGAGAGAGCTCACTCTTGTATCATTCCTTTTGTCCTGCATTTCTGAGCCCACCTGTCGTCTTCTCTCTAATTTTCAGAGTCTTTTTATGTTTGTTTTATTTGTAATGCCCAGGTATTTTTTTGTTTGTTTTAGCCATATTTAGCTGGGGAAAAAAGAATAAGTAAGTCTGTCCCATATTGGTCTGGAGCGTTTACATATTTTTGAAGCCGGGTTTTGTTTTCCAGTGTTTGGCTATTGCCACCAATTTTGTGCCTTTGGTGGATACAAAAATTTTGACCTCTATGTCTTCATGTGCATCACTCACAAAATCATGGAGGGGGCCAATAACTGGTTCCTTCTGTGTGTCACTAAATGCTTTCATAATTTTCATTTTGTGATTTGACAGAATTTTTGTTTAATGTGCTTTCTAAGCCCTATAGTTCTCTTCAGAATTCCATGTTACTCTGTGTGCTTTCTAATCTGTATTCATAAAATGGTACCATTAATTTCTAAGATTTTTTTTTACAATTTTTAATGTTATTCCTTTCATGCTTTCGCATGAACACTATCTGTATTGCCTTCATTTGCTCCACCTCATTTAATTCCCTGTTGGCATCACTATAGTTCTTTCCCAACTTTTACCTTTGGGTTAGTCGTTTTAGCAATGTTCAGTTTGCTACATTAAATTCTTTTATTCAGTTGACCTTTGTTTATACTCTGGCAAATGCCCAAGTTTAGACTCACTTCATTTTGTTTCTTTTTCTGTGTTTCCTAATTGCTCCTGGAGGAACACACGGAACAAAGTAGATTGGTCCCATTACCACACACTACTAAAAATTCCTTCCTAACAATTGAAATTGATTCTGTAATTCAATCTCCTGAAATGAATTCAACTTAAAAGATGACTTGAAAATATACTTGATCCTTGTTATTTGCAGATTCCATATTTGCAAATTCACCTACTCACTAAAATTTATTTGTAACCCCCAAATCAATACTCAAGGCACTTTTATGATCATTCACAAGCATGCACAGAGTGGCAAAATATCTTATTACTCAATGAGCATATTCTTACCTGAGGTTGAAAAATGTGATACTGTGCCTTTTTGTTTCAGTTCTCATTCTGTAAACAAGTGTCTTTTCTTGGTCTACATAGTGCTACATTTTTCACATTTTTATTATCTTTGCTGGCGATTTTGCTGTTTAAAATAGTCCCCAACTGTAGTGCCAAAGTATAGTGCAAGAAGGTTGTGATGTGCCATATGGAGAAAATATGTATATTTGGTAAGCTTTGTTTAGTTATAAGTTTTAGCGGTGTTTACTGTGAGTTTAATGTTAATGAATCAACAATGTATATTAAATAGAACGTCTTTAAACAGAAACACACACGAAATCTGTTTATGTCTTGAGCAGTTGACAAAAATGTGACCAGAGTCTCCTGGAAAACCAACCCTGTATTTCTCCTAAGAACAAGGACTCAACAGTCATTAATTCAGCATTTGTGGTGACTTCACAGAACACGACTACCATGAATAATGAGAATAACCTGTATTTTATTTGTCTTCTTGACGGTCATGGAATCATTGATGGTTTAGATATTATGCTAGACCTTCTTTTGTCCTAATCATCATCATCCTACTTGCCTCCAACTTTCCTGAAACTGTTGAAAACATCGTGCACTTTTACATTTATGATCATCCATTATTTTCTTTATTCAACTATCTCGGTTTCTATAGTCTCTATAGTAATGTCCTTCCTAAAAATTTCAGAGAAACAGATGTATGCCCTCTTAATCTTTTATTTTATAATTTTTATTATAAAAATTTCAATGGTATGCAAAAATAGGGAGGATAAAATAATGAACTTTCATGTACTCATCACCTAGTTCAAAAATTTACAACTCATGGCCAACCTTACGTTATCCGTACATACCCTGATAAAATCCCCTCATCCCCTTTCCCTACCAAAATATCAAATCTATTTTGAAGTTAATCCCAGATGTTATATACTTTCATCTGAAAATGTCCCCATTCAAAAATACTATTTTGATGGTGATATTAGAGGTACACGCTTTACAAACTTTGTGAGCTACAGAAGAGAAGCCAAATTTGCCCTATGATTACAATATTCTACTTTCTTATCTCTGGGAAGACATGGCACCCATTTTTTTGGGGGGGAGGGATGGAGTTTCATGCTTGTTACCCAGGCTGGAGTGCAGTGGTGTGATCTCGGCTCACTGCAACCTCCACCTTCTGGATTTAAGCTATTCTCTCGCCTCAGCCTCCTGAGTAGCTGAGATTACAGGCAACCGCCACCACACCAGACTAATTTTTGTATTTTTAGTAGAGACAAGGTTTCACCATGTTGGTGAAAAATTCCTTCCTAGCTTCCAGGCTGGTCTCAAGCTCCTGACCTCAGGAGATCTACCTGCCTCAGCTTCCCAAGGTGCTGGGATTACAGGTGTAAGCCATCTTGCCCAGCCTCCATTTAAAAAATGTTCATGTCTAGCATCCACAGTTTTTACCACTTGCCTTGCTCTTTATATTTTAATATCACAAAAACCACTAATAACCTCATATGTAAAAATTTTTCCTTGAATCTCCTACTGTTTCTCATCTCAGTGGTATTTGGCGACCTTGCCTTTCTTAAGACATATCCCTTGTTTGAATTTCATAATTCTGAAATTTGCTGATTTCTTTCCTCCTCCTCCATCTACTCATTTCTGGCTGTATCCTTTGATTAATCTTTCTCTCTCTCTCTCAATCTGGCTATGCTCAAGATTCAGATCTCAGATAAAGTTTTTATCTGCTGTCTATATTCTCACTCAAAGAAGCCATCTTTTCTTTGAACTCAGCTATCACCTTAATGAGTGCCAAACCTGTGTCTCCAGAATTCAACTCTTGCCCATATTTAGTCTTACATTTCTACCTACTTCAAAGTGATTTCTATTTATATATTTTAAGTTCTTAATAGGAAATGAAAATTTGTATATGTGCCATTTGAAACTCAACAGGCATCATGAAATGTTGCCTGGGTTTTTAAGTTTCTCGCTCATATTATTAGGGTTCACTATTAGAGTTTTTTTTACTCTTATGTTTCCTCCACATGTATTCAGTTAAGTCCTAGACTATTTTCCCACTTTACCATATCTTTTATGTTTATTTCTTATGCCCCTATTATTTCTGTTAACACCCTAATCTATTCCCTCATTTCTTTGTGTCTTAATACTTCCACGGCTTCCTGTTTGGCTTCTTCCAATTTTAGAAGTTTCTGAATACACTTCCTGTTCTGTTTCTCACTAAACCATTCACTAAAAATAACAGGATTAATGAGACAAATAGAGATAGAGACAGACTGGTCCCTCAAAAGCTATGCAACTTTATAACTGAAGAATTAACAAATATAATAATTGGTACCTTTAAAAATAGCTTGCACAGTGTAGGCAGGCAAAACGCCCAAGGTCTGGTGGCTTACTCAGGGCATGTTAAAAATGCAAAGAAAAATAATGTGGAAACACAGGTTTGCTGGTGCTAAGGCAATATACACAGGGAAGTGTAGTCCTGAGCAGAAGAGGAAATGCAACCTAAAACTGATACAAAGCTAGGATACATCTCTCTGGGGAGGGAGTTTTGGGTACAGGCACTCAGGCATTTTCTTAAAACAGTGCCCCAAATGTGTCTGCCTGTGTAATAGCTGAGTTGAAAGGGTTTTCCTTTTCTTCTGAAGTTTATAATTCCACTCCCATTATTCTGGCTCCCTTGCCTAAAAAAAAGCATATCTAAACCATCATAATTTCCATCTTCTACTGACATAACTCTGCCATTCACTAATCAAATGTGAGCTAATTAGTGCTGGTAGAATAGACTCTATATTTTTTTCTATTTGATACTTGCTGGACATCACCTTACTTTTCAGCTTGTAATGCTATTTACTGCTATTTATATACTATTATTTATATTATTTACTATTTGTATACTGCTATCTCTTTAAAATAATTATTTATTCTCGGACTCATTTATTCCTGTCTCTTATGCTGATTAAAGCTTTGTTTTCTCTTGTATCTTCTATTTCTCTATCCTGATTTTCTCTGCCTGCATATAGACTTGGGATTTTATTATCAAAATTATTTATTTTTGAATAGCTTCATATGGCATATCTTATTTCTATAAGCAGATTGCAGGTTTCTAGAGGACAAGATCCATGTGTTTATAATACTCTTTTTATATCTCCTCCTACATACGAGGGTATCAGTAAATGCTTATTGGTTAGTTGATTTAAAATCACAAATGTATTATTTCAAATGTACTATTATATTAGTTAATTTTTTAAATGGACAAAAGAAAATTCACAAGGAAGTTAGCATAACGTAGGGAAAAAAGCATGGGCTTCTGAATTAGATCGCTCTGGATTCAAATTCGGGGTCTGCCACTGATTAGCACGTGATCTCAGGCAAATTACTTAATGTTTCTGAGTTTCAGTTTTCTTAGTAACCCAGAAAAAATTAACCTAGTTCTATGTTTTTTGTAAACAAGAATTACATGAATTAATGAGATAATATTTTAATCAATTAAGAACTTCATAGAGTGAGTATGAATACTTAATGGGTGGTCAATAATTAGAAGCGCCAGGATCTTGAGGAATAATCAGCCAGTACCTCATTATTACAAGCCATATAAAGAATCAAAACTCTGGAGTTTGCAGGATATAAATAATGAGAATTTGTGATTTTATATATGCATTTCCTAAGTTCTGCCTTTTGCTAGACTAAGCACTTTACATTCACTGTCTTACATCATCTTCATAGCACTCATCACAGGTAGGTATTATTAGGAGCATTTACAGATAAATAAATTAAAGGTCTTAGCCAGCATGGAAAGGCCAAACTTGAGATAGAAACCCTGGTGTCTGACTCTAATGTCTGTTTTTTTTTGTTTGTTTGTTTTTTTAAAATCAGTAATAGACTCTTCACTCCCTTTTTTGGGGGGTTATGTTACACTAATAAAGAGTATAGACAAAATAATTAGGGAGTTATTTTGTCAGATGTGTCACATAAGTTAAGAGTACAGTTCTTCAAAGAGATGGAGGCTTCAATCTCATTGTTTTGAAGGTTTCAAGGTATTTCAAGGTTTCAAGGTTTCAATCTCATCAGTTTTCAAGGTATTGGAGGTCCTCTTTTAGGTGGATAACTGACATAGATGGAGAAAATCACTTATGCATGCGAACACACGGAATACTTTTGAAAATTACCCCTTTCATTACATTCTTAAGTTAGAAAAATAGCCAATTCCTCTGTAATGAACTGAATTATGAATTACTAATTTCTGTCTTCTCCTTTAGGGTGACTCTGGAGGACCACTGGTTAGTTCAGATGCTAGAGATATCTGGTACCTTGCTGGAATAGTGAGCTGGGGAGATGAATGTGCGAAACCCAACAAGCCTGGTGTTTATACTAGAGTTACGGCCTTGCGGGACTGGATTACTTCAAAAACTGGTATCTAAGAGAGAAAAGCCTCATGGAACAGATAACATTTTTTTTTGTTTTTTGGGTGTGGAGGCCATTTTTAGAGATACAGAATTGGAGAAGACTTGCAAAACAGCTAGATTTGACTGATCTCAATAAACTGTTTGCTTGATGCATGTATTTTCTTCCCAGCTCTGTTCCGCACATAAGCATCCTGCTTCTGCCAGATCAACTCTGTCATCTGTGAGCAATAGTTGAAACTTTATGTACATAGAGAAATAGATAATACAATATTACATTACAGCCTGTATTCATTTGTTCTCTAGAAGTTTTGTCAGAATTTTGACTTGTTGACATAAATTTGTAATGCATATATACAATTTGAAGCACTCCTTTTCTTCAGTTCCTCAGCTCCTCTCATTTCAGCAAATATCCATTTTCAAGGTGCAGAACAAGGAGTGAAAGAAAATATAAGAAGAAAAAAATCCCCTACATTTTATTGGCACAGAAAAGTATTAGGTGTTTTTCTTAGTGGAATATTAGAAATGATCATATTCATTATGAAAGGTCAAGCAAAGACAGCAGAATACCAATCACTTCATCATTTAGGAAGTATGGGAACTAAGTTAAGGAAATCCAGAAAGAAGCCAAGATATATCCTTATTTTCATTTCCAAACAACTACTATGATAAATGTGAAGAAGATTCTGTTTTTTTGTGACCTATAATAATTATACAAACTTCATGCAATGTACTTGTTCTAAGCAAATTAAAGCAAATATTTATTTAACATTGTTACTGAGGATGTCAACATATAACAATAAAATATAAATCACCCATTTGCTTGACATTATGATATGATAATCCACAAAGAAGGGGAAGATGGGAAAAATGTTACTAGTCAATTTATTGTAAATTTTTTTAAAATTTGAGGCTAGGATGAAAATTAATTTAATAACAATCAGCATGCTTATGTACTAAAATAATTGCGTTGTGGAATGGGAGGGAACGAAGAGTTCAAACAATTGACTGGAAAGGTTTTATTCGTCTAAGACTTTCCCAAACAGCAAATCCTTGAAGGGAATGAGATCCAGGTGTTAGTGTACAGTCTAGTGATGCAACTGAACTGGGGCTCAGACCTCTATTTTGAGATGATTGTAGATATTTTTCTTCCCCTGCTGCTGTGTTTACAGTTCATACATGGTTAATGGTCCTGTTAGACTCCTCTTCGCTGAGATGGAAAGATACCATAGAGAAAATATCCTGGAAGCTGCCTCACTGCTGCATCTAGTGTGACACTGAATGGCTAACTGCCTGGATAACAAAACTGAAGAGTAAAAGCATGATATTGGCCACCTTCATGATTTTTAGTTTTGGTAAATTATTACTGAGCTGTTAGAGACACAGCTTTCAAGTAATCCAGACCGTAATGAAGTTAGGACTGGTACCATGATGTACGGCATGTTAATGGTGAGATTTCACCAAGTCTGTCCTCATTGCATATAGCTACTCATATAAGTTCTATATTGTACAATAATTACCCTGAAAACCAGTATTGCCACGAAAAATTTAAGTTTATTGATCTGAATAACACTGGAGTATGAACTGATAACATTTAGGCACTTGGCAAAAATATGAAAACTGACATGAATTGATAGTGCTAAATATTTTGCATAAGCTATTTTTGTTTCATTTAGCAAAATGCTCTGGGAAAAAACAAAATTGAGGAAAACCTTGAATTTTAAGCAAGGATATAAGTACCTTTAAAACTACTCTCAGTGTTCTGTTAAAAATGGATTCCTCTTGTTTCAGTGTATTCTGTAGTTGGGCCTCTAGGTGGCACCCACAAGCTGTAGGAAGCTATGGGGAAGCCTGACATCAAGAAGGATGTCTAGATCTGTAAGTAATAATGAGAACTGTACCTGAAATTAGAGTCTCGTGAAACCAAAAGAATACAGTTTTTCTTTGCAAATGGCGTTTAAAAATTAATTCGTGTTGATTTACATCATTATTCGTATTTTTCAAATTTCTGGACATTTGATTCCAAACTAAAATAAAATTTATGTTGCATGATTTGAGGAACTCCCTCTGCAAAAGCACCTGGAGCAATTTAAATTAAGAAGAAATTTTAAAAGCTTAATTTTGCAATGACATCTTATTCCTAAGAGAAATACTTTTGATATTTCCTTCTACAAAGGATTTGAGAAATAGAAGTTTGGGTCAAAGTGAAAATATGAGCGATAGTTCAAACTTTATGTACATAGAGAAATAGGTAATACATTTCTAAAATGGTAACTTCTTTTGAAAAGTAATTACCAAAGGGTTTTATCTGCATGTCTGTGTTAACTGTTTCATTGGAGATAGTTAAGAAGATGTGACGATAATATTTATTACTTTTTTCAAGAGGGCAGGCAGTTCCTCTTCTATATCTTCGATCTCTCTTCCTACAGCACTAGTAAAGTACTCTGTATATAACAGTCCTTCAATAAATGTTGTTGAATGACTCTTTTATTTTTACATTATGCAGAAAACATAGCTTTATTATTATTTACACATTGATTTTTAAAATTAATCCCAGATTTTACACTGAGTGAATTAAGCCGGTTACTATTTATCTAAGCCTATAATCTCACCCGTAAGATAGAGATGATATTTGCTCAAATGATTGTTGTGGAAATAAAACTGTGAATGTTTAAAAAGTGCTTAGCACAGTTCTTGGAACATTAGTAGGTGTTCAAGAGACCATAGTAATAATAACTGTTGCTATAATGAAACTACACTCTTGTTTTAAAAAATATGGTATTTGATTATAACAGGCTGAATACCTTTTTTTTTTGAAATGACAAGATAATTAGACCAACAAAATGTGCTAGTTAAAAAAATTTCTGATTCTACAAAAAGTTTTACTGGGATAATTCCGAAACATATTTATCAAAGTGGTCTGTCAATGTGAGGGTTCATTCTAACTTTTGACTTCAATTTTAAAAAATGATAAACTTTATTAACCACCGAGTGGCTGGATTATATCAAGATCTATGGTGTAGTTCAAATGTCGCCTCTTCCCTGAAGCCTTTTTTTACTTCCTCAAGTGGATGTACTATACGTTTCTTCTGAACTTCCTTACCATTAATTTTTTTTATTTTCAGATAATCATTGATTCAGATACGGTTAAGATATAACTGTAAGATATAATTCACAGAGATTCTGTGTACCCTTTACTCAGTTTACCTCAATAGTAAGATCTTGCTTAGGTGTAGTATAATATTACAATGAAGAAGTTGACATTGAGACAATCCATTAACTTTATTAGGATGCAATCAATTATATATGTGTGTGTAGGTGTGTGTGTAATTAGTTCTATGTAATTTAATTACATATGTAGATTCATGTGATTACCAAGATACAGATAGTTTGTTCACAAGGCTACATCACGCTACCGACAGCCATCCAGCTCCCTCCCTAGGCCTGTGTCTAGTCTCTAATCCCTGGCAACCACTAATCTGCTCTCCATCTTTATAATTTTTATTGTTTCAAGAATGGTATATAAATATATTATACAATAAGTAACTTTTTCAGGTTGGCTTTTTCGCTCAGTATAATTTTCTTGAGATCTGTCCAAGTTGTTGTGTGTGTCAGTAGTTAATTCTTTTTTTATTACTGAGTAGTATTACATGATAGGGCTGTACCTCAGTTTGTTAACTGTATACCCACTGAAGGGCATTTGGATTGTTCTCAGGTTTTGGCTATTACAAATAAAGCTGCTATGAAGATTTGTGTGTAAGCTTTTGTGTGGACATAAGTTTTATTTTTCTGAGATTTATGGCCTAGAGTATGCTGGGTCATACGGTAAGTACATGTTTAGATTTTTAAGAAACGGCCATATTCTTTTCACATGGCTCCTTACTACTTGTAAAACTCTCTGTACTTAGAATATCTACCTGTGTATTTCAGATGTGCAGATAGATGTGATTTCAACAACTAGACTGTAAACTCCATGAGGGTGGGGACAGTAACTGGTTCATTTTTATATCCTTCACAGTTCACAGGAAACTATAATATTGTTTATGGCAGTTGTTCTATAAAGATTTATTAAATAAAAATAAAGAGTAATAAAAGCAAACAAATAAATATACATGAAATAAAAAAGAAGAAATGGCTTTGGGTAGAAAAGAATGAACAGTATTTCCTTCATGAAGGTATTACTGCTCAATTTCTGTAATTCTGCATGGACTCTACCATGGCACTTCCATGTATCTTATGTTGGTTGATATAAAGTCTGTTTTTCACCTTTCCACAGGGTACACAATCAAACATAGACTAAAGACATGGTTGATATGGAGAATCTCTCTTTATATCTGAATTTAGTTTCTGATACATGTTATATTTAAGAGTTTTCTGACACATCTGTATCAGCTTCTACTGTATTTGTGGAATGGATTCCAGTTTAGGAGCACAATCAATAAATATTTGTTGCTCTTACTTTTTATAACTATGATTCTATAATTTGTCCTAATGTAATTTTTATTATATAACTCAAGGTGGAGTGAAAGACAGAGACCTGTGAAATGTAATCAGAAGTTCTCTCTTAATTGTCCCTAACACAATAATCAGTACCTCTTTGGCGTAGATGTAGTCAGCTTAAATTTTACAATCACAGTACTCACTGCCTTGCATATACCCCTCACCTGCTTGTTCTCTTGCTCCACCACTCTGTGACACTTGCTTTTTACTATGATCCTGGTAAAATTTAACTCTCCACTTACTGTTTTTAAAAACTAATTAATTTCCCCCAATTTTATTAAAGTATAATTGGCTAATAAAAATTGTATATAGTTACAGTGTAAAATTTGATGTTTTGATATATGTATACATTGTGAAATTATTTAATCAAGCTAATTAATATATTCATTACCTCAATACTTACTATTTTTTAAAAGAACATTTAATATCTATTCAGCAATATCTACTTTTAACAATTTAAAAATACTCAATACATTATTATTAACTGTAGTCTCCATGCTGTAAATAGGCCTCCAGAACTTATTTCTTCTATATAACTGAAACTTTGTACCTTTTAATCAATATCTTCTCATTTCTACCACACTCCAGCCTCTAGCAACCACCATTTTACTCTCTGCTTCTATTAGTTCAGCTTTCTTAGATTCCACATATAAGTGAGATCATGTAGTAATCAGCACTCTGTGTTTGGCTTATTTCACTTAACATAATATCCTCCAGATTCATCTATGTTGTCACAAATGACACGATTCCCTTCGTTTTTAAAGCTGTATCATATTCCAATGTGTGTATTTCTTTATTCTTCCACCAATGGACATGTAGGTTGATTCTATATTTTGGCTATTGTGAATAATGCTACAATAAACATGAGAATGCAAGTATTTCTGTACCAAAAGTGAAAAACAGAATGGTTGTATGGTACTTAAAGTATGGTTTCTACTGAATATTTCAATTAATCACTGCTGAGATAACCAAAATAGTGTGTAAAAAACAAGCAAATCAGCAAAACCAAAATTGCACTTTTTCAAAATGTCAGATAAATGACTAATCTTTTAACTAGACTGAACTCCCATAAAGGAGATGATTCACATTTTAATAATAAAGTCAGATATAATAGTAAAGACATTATTACCAATCATACAGAAATAAAAGAATTATAATTGTATATTAGGAGCACTGGTATGTCAACAAATTATAATAACTTAGATGAAATGAACAAATCTCTAAAAGACACAGTCATACAGACTCAAGAGTTCTAACACAATTCCATTATGTTCAAAGGACACACTTCGTATGATTTCAGTACTTTTATTGAGAGACACGGCCTAGCAATGGCCTATCTTGGAAAATGTTAATGTACTTGAGAATATTATATACAGTCATGCATTGCTTAACAACAGGGATATATGAACTGCATTGTTACATGATTTTGTTGTGTGAACATCATACAGTGTACTTACATAAATCTACAGGGTGTAGCCTACTACACACCTAGGCTGTATGGCATAATCTATTGCTCCTAACTTACAACCTGTACAGCATATTACTATACTGAATACTACAGGGAATTGTAACACAGTGGGAAGCATTTGTGTATTTAAACATAACTATACGTAGAAAAGTTACTGTACAAATACAATCATCTAAAAAATTAAAAAATGGTATACCTGTTAAAATTCTTATCATGAATGGAGTTTTCAGGGCTAGAAGTTGCTCTGGGTGAGTCAGTGAGTGAGTGGTGAATGAATGTGAAGGCATAGGACATTATTATACACTACCGTAGACTTTATAAACACCATGCACTTAGGCTACACTAAATTTGTAAACAATTTTCCCTCTTCAATGAAAAATTAACTTTAGCTTACTGTAACCCTTTTAATTTATAAACTTTAAATTTCTTTTACTTTTTGACTCTTTTATAATAGCACTTAGCTTAAAAACAAACATATTTTTCAGCCATACAAAAATATTTTTTCTTTATACCCTTATTCTATAAGCTTTTTAAAATATTTTAATAATTTATTATTTTTTACCTTTAAACTTTTTGGTTAAAAACTAAGAGCCCACCACAGCTCAGCAAGGCCACTGTGGCCAGACTGACTCTCTAGATTCCCTCCTCTCTGGGCAGAACATCTCTGAAAAAAAGGCAGCAGCCCCAGTCAGGGACTTATAGATAAAACCCCCACCTCCTGGGACAGAGCAGCTGGGGGAAGGGGTGGTTGTGGGCACAGCTTCAGCAGACTTAAATGTTCCTACCTGGCAGCTCTGAAGACAGCAGTGGATCTCCCAGCACAGCGTTCAAGCTCTGATAAGGGACAGCCTGCCTCCTCAAGTGGGTCACTGACCCCCGTGTATCCTGACTGGGAGACACCTCCCAGTAGAGGCCGACAGACACCTCATACAGGAGAGCTCTGGCTGACATCTGGTGGGTGCTCCTCTGGGACAAAGCTTCCAGAGGAAGGAACAAGCAGCAATTTTTGCTGTTCTGTAGCCTCCGCTAGTGATAGCCAGGCAAACAGGTTCTGGAGTGGACCTCCAGCAAACTCCAGCAGACCTGCAGCAGAGGGCCCTGAATGTTAGAGGGAAAACTAACAAACAGAAAGGAATAGTATCGACATCAACAAAAAGGATGTCCACTCAGAGACCCCATCGGAAAGTCACTGACTTCAAAGACCAAAGGTAGATAAATCCACGAAGATGGGGAGAAACAAGTGCAAAAAGGCTGAAAATCCAAAAACCAGAATGCCTCCTCTCCTCCAAAGGATCACAACTCCTCACCAGCAAGGGAACAAAATGGGATGGAGAATGAGTTTGATGAATTGACAGAAGTAGGCTTCAGAAGGTGGGTAATAACAAACTCCTCCGAGCTAAAGGAGCATGTTCTAACCCAATGCAAGGAAGCTAAGAACCTTGAAAAAAGGTTAGATGAATTGCTAACTAGAATAAACAGTTTAGAGAAGAGCATAAATGACCTGATAGAGCTGAAAAACACAGCAGGAGAACTTCATGAAGCATACGCAAGTATCAATAGCTGAACCAATCAAGCAGAAGAAAGGATATCAGAGATTGAAGATCAACTCAATGAAATAAAGCAAGAAGACAAGATTAGAGCAAAAAGAGTGAAAAGAAAAGAACAAAGCATCCAAGAAATATAGGACTATGTGAAAAGACCAAATCTATGTGTGATTGGTGTACCTGAAAGTGATGGAGAGAATGGAACCAAGTTGGAAAACACTCTTCAGGATATTATCCAGGAGAACTTTCCCAACCTAGCAAGGCAGGCCAACATTCAAATTCAGGAAATACAGAGATCACCACAAAGATATTCCTGGAGAAGAGCAACCCCAAGACACATAATTGTCAGATTCACCAAGGTTGAAGTGAAGGAAAAAAATGTTAAGGGCAGCCAGAGAGAAACGTTGGGTTACCCACAAAGGGAAGCCAATCAGACTAACAGCAGATCTCTCTGCAGAAACCCTACAAGCCAGAAGAGAGTGGGGGCCAATATTCAACATTCTTAAAAAAATTTTCAACCCAGAATTTCATATCCAGACAAACTAAGTTTCCTAAGCGAAGGAGAAATAAAATCCTTTACAGAAAAGGAAATACTGAGAGATTTTTGTCACCACCAGTCCTGCCCTACAGGAGCTCCTGCAGTAGTTTCTGCTGCCTTTTGTTCAGCTATGACCTGCCACCAGAGGTGGAGTCTACAGAGGTAGGCAGGGCTCCTTGAGCTGCAGTGGGCTCCACCCAGTTCAAGCTTCCTGGCTGCTTTGTTTACCTACTCAAGCCTCAGCAATGGCGAATGCCCCTCCCACAGCCAGTCTGCCACCTTGCAGTTCTATCTCAGACTGCTGTGCTAGCAGTGAGCAAGGCTCTGTGGGCATGGGACCCGCTGAGCCAGGGCCGGGATATAATCTCCTGGTGTGCTGTTTGCTGAGACCATTGGAAAAGGTGGGAGTGTCCCAATTTTCCTGGTAGAGTCTGTCATGGCTTCCCCTGGCTAGGAAATGGAAATCCCCCAACCCCTTGCACTTCCAGGGTGAGGTGATGCCCCACCCTGCTTCAGCTTGCCTTCTGTGGGCTGCACCCACTGCCCAACCAGTCCCAGTAGGATGAACCAGGTACCTCAGTTGAAAATGCAGAAATCACCCATCTTCTGCATTGATCATGCTGGGAGCTGCAGACCAGAGCTGTTCCTATTTGGCCATCTTGGTTCTTCACTATAGACATGTTACAAAGGAAGATATACAAGCAGTCAACAAGCATATGAACAAAAAGATCAATATCACTGATCATTAGGGAAATGCAAATTGAAACCACAGTGAGATACCACTGATCATTAGATAAATGCAAATCAAAACCACAGTGAGATACTATTTCACACAAGTTAGAGTGGCTATAATTAGTCAAAAAATAGCAGATACTGGTGAGGTTGCAGAGCAAAGGGAACACTTATACACTGTTGGTGGGAGCGTAAATTAGTTCAACCATTGTGGAAAGAGGTGTGGTGATTACTCAAAAAGCTAAAAGCAGAACTACCATTTGACCCAGCAGTCCTGTTACTGGATATATGCCCAAAGGAATATATATCATTCTACCATAAAGACACATGTACATTTATGTTCATTGCAGCACTGTTCACAATAGCAAAGACATGGAATCAACCTAAATGCCCATCAATGGTAGACTGGATAAAGAATATGTGGTACATATACACCATGGGATGCTATGCAGCCATAAAAAAGAATGAGATCATGTCCTTTGCAGGAACATGGATGGAACTGGAGACCATCATCCTTAGCAAACTAACACAGGAACAGAAAACCAAATGCTGCATGTACTCACTTATGAGGGGGAGCTAACTGATGAGAACACATGGATGCAAAGAGACAACAGACACTGGGGTCTACTTGAGGGTGGAGGGTTGGGGAGAAGAATAGGATCAGAAAAAATAACTATTGGGTCCTAGGCTTTGTACCTGGGTGATGAAATAGTCTGCACAACAAACTCCCATGACAGGAGATCACCTATATTAGAAGCCTGCACTTTTACCCCTGAACCTAAACTATAAGTTTTTTTTTAAAAAAAATCTTAAGAAAGAAACATAAAGTCAAACGTTTTGTGAATATTATGTCAAAATTATGTGCTTATCATTTTGCTGCTGTTCCTTTTTTAAAAATGCTTTTTTTATCTCTCTGTAAAATAATGGTGTTCCCTTTCTAATGCAAACATACTTTCAGATCCTAATCATCGGGGTAAACATTCTTTTTAAAACTATTGTTTACAAAAGTAAAAATCTGACTTTGTCCATGCAGATCATCTATTGACAAGTATTTTTCAACAACATAATTTTAACCTTATGACATCAGTTTTA
Source organism: Homo sapiens (assembly GCF_000001405.40). Classification (NCBI taxonomy): domain Eukaryota; kingdom Metazoa; phylum Chordata; class Mammalia; order Primates; family Hominidae; genus Homo; species Homo sapiens. The sequence goes on from NT_167250.2 coordinate 200,348, forward strand.
ATAGCAGTCATTACACTATTATTCCAGGTGATTCTGGGACACCTGAGTACTCTGTGTAATTGAAGTTATCTGTAGCCACATTTAATATGACATGTTCAATGTTTGGTCTCACAAGCTCACTGCTTAGAGTCTTCTTCATCCACCCAATATTGAAGTAATGAAATGGCTGTTAATAGATTCATCACTGATCTCATTCTGCGACATCTTTATCAGAATAATATAAAATCAATGTAAGAAATTTGGTGAAATTATGAAAATTTAGGAAAAAATAAATTTCATTTATAAAATCTGTGTGCTTTCATTATGGTTTTATTCTATTTATATAACTCAAAGTACATATATTATGTTTACATAAAAATTTTTTATCTCATTGCATGTATCTTTTCTTCTGACACAAAAATTGTGATATTTTTCTGTTCATCATTTTGTTCCGTAGTATTCAACAATACCTGTACTATGGCTGACAGTGTAATTTAACATTTTTTGATAAAACAATTGTAATGACATGGTACACACATTGTATACATTTTAAATCATTTCTCAATGTAAAATATTTGAATTGTCTCCAGTGTTTATTTTATGAATGTCTGCCACAAATATTGAATCTGACCATCGTGATTTAGGTGTTCTCTGTATAGTTTCATATGAGTATATTATGAAGCCAATGTCTATATGCATTTTTATAATACTTAATACTTTTCCCCAAGTGTCTGATTCTTTTAAAATATGCAATCATTATCTGAGAATCTAATACATAATGGAAAAGCAAGAAAATTTGTGACAAAAATTATTTTATGTAAGAAAGAAGTAGAGGACAGGCTGCACAACTATTGACCTGGATTCGAACCTACCTTCTGCAAATGAATAACAACAGCTAGTATTAGTATTTATCACTATTGTTCTAATAGTCATTCTTGCCCTTGTCTTCCTTCTCCACCTACTCTCTTCCCCCTTCTAATGGCACCATCACTTTCCTCTAATGTGAATGGGAAAATTTTTTGAGAATAAGGTTAGAGTGCATAGAATTTTCATTGGTCTTACCTCTGCCTTTGTCCTTTGGGAAATTACCACATAGAGCCTATGCAATTTTCATTCAACATAGACATTGAGTTTTAACTCAAGTAAGATTTCAGTTTTCTGTTGCTGCTTATAAGAAGGTAGACAAAAAGATCTCTTAAGGCTTATATAATAAAGTAGTGAGGAATGCTTGCTTTCTGCTTATGTCTCAAAAGAATAACATTAAAGTAAAATATATGAGGTTCTTTTGTTTCTTCGTAAGGAAGATCATCCTATATCCTGACAGAATTCTTTTGTAAATCTCAGTGTAGTTTTCAGATGCAAGTGGTAGACATTATTTGGATCTTATTATACATGCATTGTTCATTTTTTTTTGGTGCTTCTCTGTCAGGCAGCTGTGATGATGAGTCCCAAGTTTCCCAGAGATTTTTACTGAGGTGTCCTATAGGCGTGGCATAAGGCAGAAAACATTAAAAGGTTAAACTGACCCTTTTATGCTCTAAGATATAAACCTCTGTGATCTCACTGACGAAAGTTTTAAATGCTAGAGTGAAAGCAAGTAAACATTGGCTTTGGCTGAGAATATTCTGGTGGCACACATTTATGTCGTTGATGAATAGTGTACCTTGAAAAGCCTTAACCCTTACATCGTTAGCATTTCATCTTGTTCATCTGACTGCCCAAAAATCTATATTTAAACAAGTCCACAGGGGATCTGTTCTCTAGGACTTTGCTGGAGAACCTTGATGTGTTGGAAAACTGTTCCTATTAATAGAAAAATTATATCTCGAGTGGCTGGCATATGTTAACTAATGGATACTATTAATAGTAATAACAAAAATAAAAAATCATTACAATATTACTACTATTTGAATCACTATGTACGAGAGACATTATAAGTGTTTTATCTGTATTAAGTATATTTTCAACACAACACAATAGGAAGAAATTGCCATTATTATAGAAGTAGGCATAATTATCTCTATCAACATTCTAGTCCACTTTTCCATTATCTGTTGCATAAACTCATGCAAAATCTTCTAAATGATCTACGCTTTTCACAATCTGGCCTTTTTGTGATGTAATCCATTGACAACATTGAGAGCTTTTTAAAGAAAGGGAATCTGATCACATCTCTCCATTTCTTAACTCTGTGCAGTAGCTCCCCATTGCCCTTAATAGACACTTCGATCTCCTTATAATTATATTGCTTCCACTTACCTCTCTAGCAACATCTGCTACTTTACTCAGCTTTTTCCTGCATACTAATTAGAAATCTTAGGAACTGCCTTTACTTCACTACCTGCTTTTCTTTTTTTGTTTTCCTCTCCCCCTCTTCTTTTCACCTATTCCTGCACATTACTGAGGACTCACTTTACCAATGACTTTGAGATCTCTTCTAGATGTTTGCTTAGCATTGTGACCTTATAACACTTTTAGACTTTTCCTTTTTACTTGCTTATAGTCTATCTTTCAAAGTACAACGTAAGGCATGAGGGAGCAGAAAGTGCCTACATTTCTTCTCTGAAAATCGAGCACTTATCCATGGTTTATGCTGATCACTTCATAAACATTCTTTGAAGGAATGACTTATACTTTTTTTTTACTTTGCACAATGAAGGCTTTCATTGAATCAACCCTGTTTTCAGAGTCTCTTTAGTATCCCTCTTTGATATTTAATGACACTAAAGTTTACACAGTTGTGATGATATAGAAACATATGAGTTTCTAATGGTAGGTCACTTTACTCGACCTCCCATATTTTCTCTTACTGTGAGTCAAACACTCTGAATAAAAACATATCTGGCCATTCCTTCTGAAATGCAAAGCAAACAAATCAAACAGGAGTAAATTTACCTTAGGCAGGGTTTTGGCTGGTTTACAGTGGAGTTCCCCCACAAAATCGACATTTGGTAAGGGTGGGCAAAGAAATTCAAAATCCCAGTACGTTTGAATGAGCCACACTTCAGCTTTCCCCATTATCTGAAATAATGTACATTAATAAAATAAATGTATACATATCTTTTTATATATAAGCATAACAATTTTCATATATTGCATGTTACTTATATATAAGGAAAGCAAAGTGTTCAGATAATTAAGAGGAAATTACATATTTAATGTAACATAAGTATATTCACAATCACAAATAGTTATTGAAATAAGCCACTATGGACTTAAATATGCATTTGTTTCCTCTCTAAAGTTGCAGTAGTAACCAATATAGATTTAAACAGCTCTTTGAGCTCCACGATTAATTCATCTTACTATACTTATAAAAACAGCTTTCTACAAAGCACAAAATCTAGTTTCCACAATTTATCAAGTCAGTCCCTTGATCCTTGGTTCTCCAAGTGAACTGTGAGTTTTCTGAGAGTATGGCTGAAATCCTTGAACATACTACTGCTTCTAGTTCATGTTAAGATTTTAATGATATTAGTTGTAAAATACATACATTTAAAAATGATAGCTAGTATATATTCAGAATTTATTGAAACAGAGATATGTGCTCCCCCTTAACTTGGCCCATATTTTCCCTAATAAAGAGAAGTAGTTCAATAAAATATAGATTAAAAGCTTGAATGTTCACTTTCAACAAGGTTTCAGTTCACAAAGCAAATAATTTCCAAGTTGTTAGTGAACTATGAACAAACACTAGAAACCTCAAATTTTAGGTTTCTGTTTCTGAAATAGAGCCAGTATACCTCTCAACTGTGAAGGAATCCTTCTGTTTATAGAGAAAAATATTTTAATACCTAAATAAGAAAAGTGAGGTACACAAAGAGAAACAATTTTCTCAATGCTGCATTAATAGTTATGCTAGAAATATGTGTAGCTCCTCATCTAAATGTCTGCCTTCATCAAGTTGTTTATTGATATATGTATTGCCTTTTTTAAAGATGAAAAAAGTATAGTAAAATACTTATATAGTTGCTTAAAGAAATCATAAGTGCTTTACTTTGTAGTTTTTTTTTTTTAATTCCTGTAGTGTCCTATAGGAGCGATGGCCAAAGGGTTCTAGCTGAGCCTATAATATCAACATTTCTATAATATTTGTGAGATTGATAGATCATCTTACATTTGCCATTCATCATTTCATTTAAACAACACTATCTTCTTACATTATATTTATATACGCTCACCTTCAAAGGCAAAAGGAAAGTTAGAACTTATTAACCATTGATTAGAAACATGACTTACCTAGAACTTCACTGTAAAACTTCTCCCACTTCTCGTATCAAACATTTGAAACCAAAAGTCAAAATAAAGCACATGTATTAAATTTTTAATCCTCTCCACGAATGTCATTTTACCACTTAATTCAGACAGAACAGCAGGTATGCGGGAAGTGGGGAATAGAAGTCCTCCACTATACTTCTCAAGTGTGTAGCCAGGAGACTGTCAACAAAGGACATGTATTTAACATGCCTTTAACATGCTCAGCTAGCAGTTCACCACAGGCACCAAGGGCATCTGCAAGAACGACATCAAACATTGACTCTTGTAGTTTTGTCGTAATTTTCTTGTTCAAAACTACATCTTTACAGAGATTATTAACACAGTCTGTAGATTCCCAAAAGAGTTCTTGTGCTTGTGAGAAATATGACCAAAATGCATCTTTCTGAAGATCGTATATCCATCTATTGATCAGTTTCACAACAAGACCCTCAAAATTATTTTTAATTAGAGATGTTGGATAAACCTCAAATCTAATAGCAGATGATTTACTAGGGTGAATAATAATGGAAGCCAAAGATGACAGCACAGTCATCTTATGGCCTCTCCAAACAAGTTCATCCAGGATTGTCTTTATATTCATCCAATGGCTGTATTCTGTGGGCCACACTAGCACCTTTCCACAACTCCCAGAACTAAAGTGACAACTGAGTTGTATCAGGAGAATATTTGACATCGATTTCATAGTTCTCCTGGTGCAATGCAATGCTTCTTTTCAAATCGCTGTTTCTTTCTGTTTTTCTCCTACTTATATCTGAAGATAAATCAATCAAGTGAAAGTATAACTGCTACAATTCAAAGTAGTAGTTACCATATAATTTCTAAATTACCATAGGAATTGTCTGTTACCATATAATTTCTAAATTACCATAGGAATTTCCAGATTGTTTTTCACAGTGGATGCTTCAATTTCCATTCTCACCAGCAATGTATAAGAATTTTAATTTCTTCCCAACCTTGCCAACACTTGGGATTATATTTCGTTTGATTATAGCCAGTGTGAATGAAGTGATATCTGGTTATGCTTTACCTTTCTTTGATATGAAATCATGTTGAGCATGTTTTGCCTAATTTTGGTTGAATTATTTGTCTTCTTATGGACTTGTGTTTTTAATATCTTTCTGATATAAGAACCTTATCACATATATGATTTCCTTGTTTTTTTTTTATTCTTTGGGCTGTCCTTTTACTTTCTTAACGGTGTTCATTGAAGCACAAAAGTATTGATTTTGATGAAGTCCAACTAATCAATTTTAATTTGGTTGCTTTTATTTTTGATTTTATATCTCACAAACCATTTCCAAGTTACAAAAATTAGTACCTGTTATTTATTATTAGAGTTTTATAGTTCTAGTGCTTACATTTAAGTTTTTGATCACCTTTGAATTAGCTTTTGTAAGTGATTTGAGGTAGAGGGTCCCAACTCAATTATTTTGTATATGGATAATCATTATTCCCACTTATATTTGTTGAATAATCTATTCTTTCCCCCTTAAATAGTTTTGAAACTTTTGTCAAAAACTTTAAATGCATGGGTGTATTTCTATATTCTAAAATCCATTCCATTGATCTACATGTCTATCTGTAGGCCTGTATCACACTCTCTTGATTATTGTATATTTGTATTTGTCTTTAAAAGCAGGAAATGTAAGTTTTCCAGCTCATTTTTATTTTAAATTGTTTCAGTTTTTTAAAAAATTTTTTTCTTCTTGCTTTTTTTCTTTAAGAGGTAGAGGTGTTACTATATTGCCCAGACTAGATTCAAATTTCTGGGCTCAAGCAATCCTCCCAACACAGCCTCTTGAGTAGCTGGATTTACAGATGTGTTTCACTACACCTAGCTTCTTTTGGCTATTAGTATGTCTCTTGAATATGTATAAATTTCAGAATCAGCTTGTCTGTTTATGCAAAGAAGTGATCTGGGATTTTGATAGGGATTGCATTGATTTGGTATATGAATTTGGGGAGTAGAGTATGGTAATTATCACAATATTAGGTCTTTCAATAAATGAAGATGTGATGCCTTTCTATTTATTTAGATGTTCTTATTTCCACAGCGTTTTGTAGATTTTGTTACAGTGGCTAGCTAGTCAGACACAAACAGGGCAGAAGACGGCTCCCACACCCTACCAGGAAAGTCAGATGACCATCAGTTAATGGTCAGGCAGTTGTCACACTGTCTCGCTAAAATAATAATTGGTTGCAGCCAGCCAGAGAAAGGCAGCTTTCCTATAAATAGAAAAAATCAAATCTGGTAATCAGCAGCTTCCTGATAAGATCTCAGGAGTTGGGTGAGTGGGCTCACGCATGCACATTAAGAGGCCAAATGGTGGAGTAAGACATTCCGGTGGCACCAGAAAAGGGAAGAATGCCTCAGGGGAGCATTCATATGACTCCAGTAAACATACTGTGCATACTCATCTCCTAAGTGCTAGCAGGCCATCACACATACCAGCAGGTCACCCTAAGGAAAGAATCAAGGAAAATGGAAGCAGGATCCTGGAAGTATGCCAACATATAAAACCCTAAGTCAAAGGTCAAACACTGCACTTTACCTTCAAAATGGCCACTTGGATATACCCCAAGTGTACTTTCCTTTCTTTCCTGCTATAAACCTTTTTAATAAATTTTCACTTTTGTTCTGAAACTTGTCCCGGTCTCTTTTTTTGCCTTGTGCCCCTCAATCAAATTCTTTCTTCTGAGGAGGCAAGAATTCAGGTTGCTGCAGAACCACAAAAATTTGCTGCAGTAACCACCACTAGTAATAATTTCACAGTGAGAGTTGTACAATTTTTTGTTAAACTTATTACTAAGAATTATATTTTTTCATGGTATTATAAGGGTGATTGTTTAATCTTCATTTTAGTTTAAATTTCCATTGCAATTTTGTAGATTTTTTGTTTTCTTATCTTGGATCCCAAAATCTTGTTTTATTGGTTTACTTGAATATTTTTTAGTGGATTTGTAAAAATTTCCTATTACAAGATCATTATATATGCCAATAGAGATAGTTTAACTTCTTTCTTTCTAATGTGGATTCCTTTTATTTCATTTTCTTTCTTATTTGTTGACTGAAATTTCTACTGCAATATTGAGTGGAAGTGAGAAGAGTCAATTTAGTGTGATGTTAGCTGTGTATTTTTTTTTTTTTTTTTTTTTTGAGACGGAGTCTCGCTCTGTCGCCCAGGCCGGACTGCGGACTGCAGTGGCGCAATCTCGGCTTCCGCTTCCCGGGTTCACGCCATTTTCCTGCCTCAGCCTCCCGAGTAGCAGCTGTGTATTTTTTTATAGATACTATTGATCAGTTTTAAGATGTTCTCCTTTACTTCTAGTTTAAGTGTTCTTATGATGAAGAGTATTGAATTTCATTAAATAAGTTTTTCTGCAGTTATTGAAGTGATTATGCAGTTTTTTCCTTTATTCTAATGATATGATATACTAGTTGGCTTTTTCAGATGTTAACATAACTTTGCATTCCTGGAATAAAATTCATTTGTTTATGGCATTTAAGCTTTTCGTATGTTCCTGAATTTTCTTTGCTAGTGCGAAAGGAAAGTAAAAATCTTGAGACATTAAACTCACTATGTCAAAGAGAAAAGTTAATCTTGGGAAACAAACCATGTAAAACTGGCTCCCATTTTGTTCCTAAACAGATAAATGCAAAAATAGAAGGCCACATACCTCTCCAGAGGGCCTCCTTCCCAATTTACTCACAAGGAAAATCACAAGGTCCTAAAACAGAGTTCTCTTGACTTTTACCCTGAGAGTATAAATTAACATTTTATATTTGCAGGTATATAAAAGACAGGACTTGAAGCCATTGTGTGGTTTTTAGCATAAGGGCTTACTGAATGGTGGTTATGTTTTCTCCTCTTTTATTTTTTGGAGGATTAATTATTTTAAATATTTGATAGAAGTATAGAGCTTTGATATTTTCTACTCTACCATTTCCAGTTATTACCCCACTATTTTTTTCTAAATAATATTTCACTGGAAGCCATCAGACACTGGCTTTTCTTTTATGGGAGACTTTTTCCTTACAGCTTCAATCTTGTTACTTGTTATTAGTTTGTTCAGGTTTTTTATTTCTTCATGGGTCTATCTTGGTTGGTTGTATGTGTCCAGGAATTTATTAATATCATCTAGGTTTTCCAATTTGTTGGTATATAGTTGTTCATAATATTCTGTAATAATTTGTGTTTCTGTAATCTCAGTTTTTTGTCTCCTCTTTCACTTCTGATTTTATTTAGTGGGTCTGTTCTCACTTTTTCCAACTTAGTCTAGCTAACAGTTTGTTGATTTTGTTTACTTTTACAGAGTTTACCTTATTGTCTGTGGCTGCTTTTGTACTACAGTGGAAGAGTTGAGTAGGAACAAGAGTCTAAAGGGTTTGCAAATTCCAAAAATATTTACCATCTGAGGCTTTATAGAACCTATTCTGATCTCTGCAGGTTCATTTTTTCCTTTAACCTTTCTATATATTCAATATATATTTCTATATATTTCTGTATTACTATATATTCAATATATTCTATATATTCAATGCAATTTTAATAAAATAGTATAGATTTTTAGTGAGTCAGATGATTTATGTTTAATTATGTTAATAATGAGTTAATAAATTAATTTGTATTTCCATTTTATTTAGAATAGGTGAGTTTGTTTGTTATGTGGAATGGTGCTTCTGTTTTACCTTTTTTTTGAGAAATCTCTAAACTGCTTTCCACAGTAATTCAACTAATTTGCAATCCACCAACAGTATATAAGCATTTCCTTTTCTCTGGATCCTCACTAGCATGTGGTATTATTATTAATTTATACTTTTTAGTAATAGCCATTATGACTAGTGTGAGATGGTCTCATTGTGGTTTTGATTTGCATTTCTATGATGATTAGTGATGTTGAGCATTTTTGTCACGTTTGTTGGTTCCTTGTATGTCTTCTTTTGAGAAGTACCTGTTCACATCTTTTGCCCGGTTTTTCACGGGGTTACTTGATTTTTGCTTGTTGAATTATTCAAGTTTCTTATAGATTCTAGATATTAGACCTTTAACAGATGTGTAGTTTGCTAATATTTCTTCAGTTTACATCTCACTTGTGAATTTTGAGTTTTGTTGCAATTGTTATTAAGGACTTAGTTATAAATTCTTTCCCAAGGCTGATGTCTAGAATGGTATTTCCTAGATTTTCTTCAATAAGTCTTATAGCTTTAGGTCTTATATTTAAACATTTAATTCATCTTGGGTTAATTTTTGCTTGGTGAAAAGTAGAGATCCAGTTTCATTCTTTTTCTTATGGCTAGCAAGCTATCCCACCATCATTTATTGAATAGGGAGTCCTTTTCTCCATTGCTTATTTTTGTTGACTCAGTGATAGATGACTATAGGTCTGTTGCTGTATTTCTGGGCTCTGTATTCTGTTTCATTGATTTATGTGTCTGTTTTTGTAACAGAACCATGCTGTTTTGGTGTCTGCAGCCTTATAACATAGTTTGAAGTTGGGTAATGTGATGCCTCTGGCTTTGTTCTCTTTGCTGAGGCATTCTTCAGCTATTTGGACTAATTTTTGGTTTTATGGAAATTTTTGAATATTTTTTTCTAATTCTGTGAATAATGACATTGGCATTTTAATAGGAATAGCATTTAATGTGTGGATGGCTTTGGTTAGGATGGTTATTTTAATGATATTGATTCTTCCAACCCTGAGCATAAAATGCTCTACCATTTGTTTGAGTCATCTATGATTTATTTCAGCAGTGCTTTGTAGTTCTTGTAGAAAACTTTTGTCTCCTTGGTTAGATGTATTTTTAAGTATATTTTGTTTGTGTGTGTGGTATAAATGTGATTGTGTTCTTGATTTGACTCTTAGCCTGAATTTTTATTGGTGTATAGAAATGGTATTGATTTTTGTACATGGATTTTGTATCTTGAAACATTACTGAAGTCATTTTTCAGTTCTAGCAGGCTTTAGGCAGTCTTTAGGATTTTCTAGGTATAGAATCATATCATCACCAAAGAACAATACCTTCAATTCTTTTCCTATTTGGATGCCTTTTATAGCTTTCTCTTGCTTAGGTGCTCAATTAATACATTATTGAAATAGAAAGTGCTGTCATTTTAATCATTTATATTTGAAATATAAAATTTTAAAAATTTATATTTGAAATTTTAATCATTTATATTTGAAACATAAAATTTTAAAATTTTAAAATTTTAAAAGATTTGGACTATGTTAAGTCCAAATTCATTGCAGAAATGTACTTATCCATTTAATAATAATAATAGTTATAGCAAATTGAATTTTGCTATATACAGCAATTACATACAGCAACTCTTTTAGTCTCAGCAATGCTATTAAGTAGGTAGTGACATTGCTTCATCTACATTTCACTGAAGGAGAATGTGAGGCATAGACCTGATAAGTAATTTGCTTAACTATACATGATTCTGTAATGGTTTTGCAAAGATGATATAGGTTATCTGGATTCAGAGTGCAAGCTCTTACCCACCATCCTATGCTGACTACTCTTTCTGGGTTACAGGTAGTTACAAAATGTAATATAGATTCACTTTTTTTGTAGGTATATATTAATTTTAATATTATTACAGGAGTATAACTCAAATATGTAAAAATATTTTTCTGGTTGTCTATCACTGCTTAACCAACTGCTCTGAAATGAAGGTGCTTAGAACAGCAACATTTTATCATCATCTGTTTTAATTCTAGGTTGTTGGCCAGGCTCAATTAGGTGTTTATGGCACAGCATTTCTCAGTTGGTTACTGTCCTAAGGTAGCTTGGGCTAATCATCTGAAGGTTAATCACTCACATATCTGGTGATTAGTATTAAAAGTCTCAAGCTACTGCAGTGCTGGGCCAATTGTGACTTATTAGGCATACATATGTATTTCTACACCAAATGGTATATTTCTCCTGGGGACTGTGGATATAGCACAGGGCTCCAAAGCGAGTGGAGAGACAGAGAAAAAGGAAAAAAGAATGACAGAAACACAGAGAAAAGGACAGAAGGACAGACAGAGAAAATGTATTAACAATTTTTTTGAGCTTTGGAAGTTAAGCTCCTCACTTCCACTATATTCTCTTTTTTGAGACAGCCACAAAATTTGCTAAATTTCACAGGAAGGGTATATGACTTGATGAGAGGATTGCCAATGCATTTGTAATCACATCTCAAAATTACTGCAAATATAACCTTAAAAATTAGAAGAAATCACTAAACTACTGTAGAATTCATAAAATGTTGACATAAGACATTAAAATTTTAAAAATTTGTTTGCTAAAATTTTAGCCATAATTAAAAATTTTAATTAACATTCTAATATATTTATTAATAAATATTTAAAATATCAAGTAGGTGTCCAAAAACAGGCTGTAAATTTATCAGATAGAGAGCACCGGATTGCTGGTCAATTTAAGTTTTCTAAATGGCACTAATGGATTGATAATATTATATTAAAACCCAAGAACATGCTATCTCAAATCAATGTTTATTTCACTAATTAATTTTTAAAACTATATAATTAATATATAAAAACAAATTTGTGAAAGGTTAGTGAATGAAGTATATAGAATCAAAATTAAAAGTAGAATCCTCTATGTTTATACAGATTTACAGATTCTTAATTTTATTTCAAAGAAGAATATCATACTTTTTTTTCTGGAACTTTTTTTCATTTAGCAATGTGATGTGGAGAGCATTCCATGATATTGTCTGTAATATGCCTGTTCTCTGTAATTGCTGCATACCTTCTACTTTTTGTGGTAGGTATGTATGTTCATTGACTGATAGCCAGGCAAGTGATGGAGGGAACATCCTGTACATACATGCACTCAGGTGCAAGTATATCTGGATGGCAGATGACTAGATGTAGAATTGCAGAGTCAAACTGTATGTTTAATTTTTTTTGTAAGAGTTGTTTCACTTTATACTCTCTCACAAACTCTTTTCTCAGATTCTTATGTTTGATCAATCTCCTGTGGGAAAATAATTCGTTGACTTTTTATGGCTACATAGTAATCCATGGTGTATACATACTGCACTTTCCTTATTCAGTCTACCATTGATGGACATTTAGGTTGATTTCATGTCTTTGCTATTGTGAATAGTGTTGCAATCAACATATACATGCATGTGTCTTTATAATAGAATGATTATATTCCTTTGGGTATATACCCAGCAATGGCATTGCTGGGTCAAATGGTATTTCTGTCATTAGGTCTTGGAACAGACAACCAAATGCTGCATGTTCTCACTTACAAGTGGAAGCTAAATGATGAGAACACATGGCCACACAGGAAGCTAAGTGATGAGAGCACATGGAACACATGAACAACACACACTGGGGCCTCTTGGAGGGTAGAAGGTGGGAGGGGGGAGAGGATCAGGAAAAATAATTAGTGGGTACTAGGCTTAATACCTGGGTGTTGACACATATTTACCTATGTAACAAACTTGCACATGTACCCCTGAGCTTAAAATAAAAGTTAAAATAAATTCATTGACTTAAGGTTATTGACTTACTAAATTATAATGTCCAACTTTCTAGTACAAGTAGCCATCTTTTTGATGTGATTGGCCATTTTTACTTCTGTGAATTGTCAATTCATATCCTTCATCTATTTTCATATTGGTCTGTTTGTCTTTTTGGTTGGTGATATATAATAGCTCTCACTATACAAGAGATACCAGTCCTTTATCTATGTGTTGCAGGATAAGCTTGATGTAAATTACTTTAGGTTTGTATGCATGATTTAGCAATATTATCTACTATGACACTATATTCATTCAATTTTTCTTAAAAATGTTTCATTTATCTAGATACATTTTATAAAAATGTTGCTGCAATCTCTTCCAATAATTCCCTTAGCATCAAAATTTTAATTTATTTTTAGAATACATTCATGCCATAGGTCATAGAGTGGTTATTGTGAGACTTGGATGATGGTCTTCTTACCAATAAAGACACATAGGTTTGTGTTAACCCATACTACTTTGATCATAAAGTGTTTCCTTGATGTGTAGCTTTTAAGAGGGCCTTGAGAATTCCTGAGATTTTATTATTTGCCAATTTTTGGTAATTTTTGTGGTCTTTTAATTGTTACTGATTATGATTAGTTGCAATATGCTTACATTTTAAAAAATCATTATCCTATTTTTGGTCATGCTAAATGACTTATGTTTTCATATTAGTGTTATGGGATGAATAGAGTTACAGGCTTCTGAGGAAAGAGAGAAACATGAGACATCCTTATATAAAATAGGGTTATATAGAATAATTATCATTTTTAACTGTCTTCTACAAACACATTCAGTTTCACAAACATCTGTAAGGCAGCTCAATAATTCTGTGCCTTGTTTTGGAAGAAGTGAACACATATATACATGTACATTTGTGATAATCAAAATCAGTAAGTCCCCTTAAAGTGCTGGTTTTATATTATCACAACCTACAATTCAGACATTTTATCCAATATTAAAGTTTAAAAATGACCGTGAAAGCAACCAGTTCACACTTTAGAAAAGTTCATGGGGAAAAGAGAATTAGCTTGTGAACAAAGGTTTTCCCAAATAGTTAAATTTTGTAGTATTTGTCAGGTAGGAGTCATTCTATCTCTAATTTGTTGTTCTCCAACTCCAAGTCTCTGAGTCCCATTATTTTGCTCTTCAGGCCCTGAATTTGGCATAAAGTGTAGTAGAGGCGGACAGTGTCGTCTCCTGTGCATCACTGTTGCTTTGCGAAGAAATTCTCAATGTGGTCAGCTGCTGCTGCTACAGAAGTCGATTTTCTTTAAACACTGCCAAGAACATCTGACTTACATAGTATATTTTGATTTGATATTTATTCAAACTGAGCCTGCTTTTTTTCTTTTTACAAACTCTCTAAAACTGCTAAAAGTCTTCACTTTATAAACTATGTAATTACCATGATCTTTATACTGTTGGTAAAGCAATGGTTCACTTTCCCCATGTCTTTCACCTCAGTTCTTTTCTCCCCTGTGTGAATTGTATCCATTTTGTTCAAAGTGATTTTACTGAATACCAGGAGTTATCACCTCTCAAGTGTTATTGGCAATGAGATTGTTTTTGCCAGTTATCAGTGAATTATTAAATTCCAAAGTCCCTTGTTGAGGGTCTGCTTTTTAGTGCCACTTGCCCAAGCTGCCATAGTCTATTTTTCTCAGAAAGCAAAGCCTGAGATAAGAATTAGTGTGCAATAACTTAATTTGAGAAATGTTCTTAGGGTACAGGAGTAGGGGACAGGAAAGGGTGAAACAAGAAGGGAGAAAAGTCAGTACAAGAATGTGTTACCAAACTAATCATCACCATAACTGTTGGGACTAAAGCTCATGCGGACCCAGTAGGAAGTTGTGTGGATGTAAAGCGTGATCATTAACCATCACTTTCTATTGCTCACACTGCCAGGTTATGCATATGTGAGTGAGTGCTAGCTGAGTTTCTTCGAGGGTTCCATGAAGAGATGTTAAAGAAGTCTGGTGCAGAAAATGAGAGACCTGTCCTATCAGAAGACGACTTCACAAAGCTCCTTGACACAGCAAAGGCTAGAGAAAAAAAAATTAGCTGAAAAAATATGGGGTGCAACCTAATTTGATCAAATGTATTAGAGCTTTCTTTTTTCTTTTGTTTCATTTTCACAGTATATTACTTTTCATATGATTAAATACTGTAAATTTTCTCAGGTTTCTGATAAAGTTATGCCTGTGATACAGGAGCTAGAAAGAAATTATTTAGGCAGATAGTGAGGGTGAAAGTCCTTGGTAAGGTTTTGTTTTAATAAAAAGCAGCCCCCCAAATCATTTCCTTGCTAACAAAAAGCAGCCAGAAAAATCAAGCTTCAAACCTAGATAAACAAGCTAAAGCTTGCATAGGTAAATGCTGGCAACTGTGCCAGTAATTCCTCAAGGATCTAGAACTAGAAATACCATTTGACCCAGCAATCCCATTACTTGGTACACGCCCAAAGGATTCTAAATCATTCTATTATAAAGACACATGCACACGTATGTTTATTGCAGCACTATTCGCAGTAGCAAAGACTTGGAACCAACCCAAATATCCATCAATGTTAGACTGGATAAAGAAAATGTGGCACATATACACCATGGAATACTACACAGCCATAAAAAAGATAAGTTCATGTCCTTTGCAGGGACATGGATGAAGCTGGAAACCATCATTTTCAGCAAACTAACACAAGAACAGAACACCAAACACCACTTGTTCTCACTCATAAGTGGGAGTTGAACAGTGAGATCACATGGACACAGGGAGGGGAACATCACACACTGGGGCCTGTTGAGGTGTGGTGGACTAGGGGAGGGATAGGATTAGGAGAAATATCTAATGGAGGTGACGGGTTGATGGGTGCAGCAAACCACTGTTTCACATGTATACCCATGTAACAAAACTGCAGATTCTGCACATGTACCCCAGAACTTAAAGTATAATTAAAAAAAAAAAAGAAAGAAAAGGGATGGGATACCTTGAAGCCAGGTATATTCAACATGGATATTCAACGTGGAGGTCCCCTCTTTCCTTTTCTTTGTCAACCATATGTGCAGTAAAGAAGCAGCAACATGGCACTGGCCATGTAGAGAAACCATTTGCTTATTGAAAATTAAGGTGGGGCAGACAGCTTCTTCTTACACTATGTAAATGGCACACCTGGTTCCACCAATCCTTTGTGCCCTATATAAATCAGACACTGTTTCCTCAAGCTCATCTATAAATCCCTGTGCATTTCACCATGGGACTAGAAGATCCATTCGGGAGCACCTTTCTGCAGAAATGAGAGCTATTCTCCTTTCTCTTTCTTTCCCCTATTAAACCTCCATTCTTAAACTCACTTCTCGTGTGTCCATGTTTTCAGTTTCCCTGGAGTGAGATGATGAGTTTTGAGTATTTACCCCAGACAATGATGCTGCTTAACCTGTTACTTTTATTTATTCTTATTTTTAAAATTTTTATTTATTTTTTATTTATTTTACTTTAAGTTCTGTGATACATTTACAGAACGTGCAGGTTTGTGGCATAGGTATTCATGTGCCATTGTGATTTGCTGCACCCATCGACCTATCATCTAGGTTTTAAGCCCTGCATGCATTAGGTATTTGTCCTAATGCTTTCTGTCCCCTTGTCCCAGACCCCCTGACAGGCCCTGATATGTGATTTTCCCCTCTCTGTGTCTATGTGTTCTCATTGTTCAACTCCCACTAATGAGCGAGAACATGTAGTGTTTGGTTTTCTGTTCCTATGTTAGTTTGCTGAGAATGATGGTTTCTATCCATATCCCTGCAAAGGACATGAACTCATTTTTTATGGCTGCATAGTATTCCATGGTGTATATGTACACATTTTATTTATTCGGCCTATCATTGGTAGGCATTTGGGTTGTTTCCAAGTCTTTGCTATTGTAAATAGGGCTGCAATAAACATACATGTGCATGTGTCTTTATATTACAATGATTTTTAATCCTTTGGGTATATATCCAGTAATGGGATTGCTGGGTCAAATGGTATTTCTGCTTCTAGATCCTTGAGCAATTGCCAAAATGTCTTCCACAATGGTTGAACTAATTTGCACTGCCATCAACAGTGTAAAAGTGTTCCTATTTCTCCAAATCCTCTCCAGCATCTGTTGTTTCTTGACTTTTTAATGATTGTCATTCTAATTGGCATGAGAAGGTATCTCATTGTGGATTTAATTTGTATTTCTCTAATGACCAGTGATGATGAGCTTTTTTTCATATGTTTGTTGGCCACGTAAATGTATTCTTTTGAGAAGAGTCTGTTTATAGCCTTTGCCCACTTTTTGATGGTGTTGTTTTTGTCTTATATATTTAAGTTCCTTGTAGATTCTAGATATTAGACCTTTGTCAGAGGGATAGATTGCAAAAAATTCCTCCATTCTGTAGGTTGCCTGTTCCCTCTGATGATAGTTTATTTTGCTGTGCAGAAGCTCTTTAGTTTAATTAGATCTCATTTGTCAATTTTGGCTTTTGCTGCAATTGCTTTTGGTGTTTTAGTCCTGAAGTCTTCGCCTATCCCTATGTCTTGGTATTGCCTAGGTTTTCTTCTAGGGTTCTTATGGTTTTGGGTTTTACATGTAAGTCTTTAATCCATCTTGAGTTAATTTTTGTATAAGGTGTAAGAAAGGGGATCAGTTTCTGTTTTCTGCATATAGCTAGCAAGTTTTCCCAGTTTTCCCGTTGCTTGTTTTTGTCAGTTTTGTCAAAGATCAGATTGTTGTAGATGTGTGGTGTTATTTCTGAAGCCTCTGTTCTGTTCCATTGGTCTATATATCTGTCTTGGTACCAGTACCATGCTGTTTTTGTTACTGTAGCTTTGTAGTACAGTTTGAAGTCAGGTAGAGTGATGCCTCCAGCCGCTTTTTTTTGTTTTGTTTTGTTTTGTTTTGCTTGGGGTTGCCTTGGCTATACAAGCTCTTTTTTCCTTCCATATAAAATGTAAAGTAGTTTTTCTAGTTGTGAGAAGAAAGTCAATGGTAGCTTGATTTGAATAGCATTGAATCTATAAATTACGTTAAGCACCGTGGCCATTTTCATGATATTGATTCTTCCTAGCTGTGAGTATGGAATATTTTTTCATTTGTTTGTGTCCTCTCTTATTTCCTTGGGCAGTGGTTTATAGTTCTCCTTGAAGAAATCCTTCACGTCTCTTTTTAGCCATATTCCTAGGTACTTTATTCTCTTTGTAGTGCTTGTGAATGGAAGTTCAATCATGATTTGGCTCTCAGTTTGTCTATTATCAGTGTATAGGAATACTTGTGATTTTTGCCCATTGATTTTGTATTTGGAGACTTTGCTGAAGTTGCTTATCAGCTTATGAAATTTTTGGGCTGAGATGATGGGGTTTTCCAAATATAGAATCATGTCATTTGCAAACAGAGACAACTTGACGTCCTCTCTTTCTATTTCCATACCCTTTATTTCTTTCTCTTGCTGATTGCCCTGGCTAGAACTTCCAATACAATGTTGAAAAGGAGTAGTGAGAGAGGGCATCCTTGTCTTGTGCCGGTTTTGAAAGGGAATGCTTCCAGCTTTTTTGCATTCAGTATGATATGGGCTATGGATTTGTCATAAATTGCTCTTATTATTTTGAGATATGTTCCATCAATACCTAGTGAATTGGGAGTTTTTAGCATGAAGGTGTGTTGAATTTATCGAAGGCCTTTTCTGCATCTATTGAGATAATCATGTGGTATTTGTGATTGGTTCTTTTTATGTGATGGATTATGTTCATTGAGTTCTGTATGTTGAGCCAGGCTTGCATCACGGGGATGAAGCTGACTTGATTGTGGTGGATAAGATTTTTGATGTGTTGTTAGATTCGGTTTGCCAGTATTTTATTGAAGATTTTTGGATCAATGTCCATCAGGGATATTGGCCTGAAATTTTCTTTTTTGTTGTGTCTCTGCCAGGCTTTGGTATCAGCATGATGCTGGCCTCATAAAATGAGTTAGGGAGAATTCCCTCTTTTTCTGTTGTTTGGAATAGTTTCAGAAGGAATGGTACCAGCTCCTCTTTGTACCTCTGGTAGAATTCAGCTGTGAATCCATCTGGTCCTGGACTTTTTTTGGTTGGTAAGCTATTGATTATTGCCACAATTTCAGATCCTGTTATTGGTCTATTAAGAGATTCAACTTCTTCCTGGTTTAATCTTGGGAGAGTGTATGTGTTGAGGAATTCATCCATTTCATCTAGATTTTCTAGATTATTTACATAGACATGTTTATAGTATTCTCTGATGGTAGTTTGTATTTCTGTGGGATTGGTGGTGATATCCTCTTTCTCATTTTTTATTTCATCTATTTGATTCTTCTCTCTTTTCTTCTTTATTAGTCTTGTTAGCCGTCGATCAATTTTGTTGATCTTTTCAAAAAAACAGCTCCTGGATTCATTAATTTTTTGAAGGGCTTTTTGTGTCTCTATTTCGTTCAGTTCTGCTCTGATCGTAGTTATTTCTTGCCTTCTGTTAGCTTTTGAATGTGTTTGCTCTTGCTTTTCTAGTTCTTTTAGTTGTTATGTTAGGGTGTCAATTTTAGATCTTTCCTGCTTTCTCTTGTGGGCATTTAGTGCTATAAATTTCCCTCTACACACTGCTTTGAATGTGTCCCAGAGATTCTTGTATGTTGTGTCTTTGTTCTCATTGGTTTCAAAGAACATCTTGATTTCTGCCTTCATTTCATTATTTACCCAGTAGTCATTCAGGAGCAGGTTGTTTAGTTTACATGTAGTTGAGTGGTTTTGAGTGAGTTTCTTAATCCTGAGTTCTAGTTTGATTGCACTGTGGTCTGAGAGACTGTTTATTATAATTTCTGTTCTTTTACATTTGCTGAGGAGAGCTTTACTTCCAAGTATGTGGTCAATTTTGTAATAGGTGTGGTGTGGTGCTGAAAAGAATGTATATTCTGTTGATTTGGGGTGGAGAGTTCTGTAGATGTCTATTACGTCCGCTTGGTGCAGAGCTGAGTTCAATTCCTGGATATCCTTGTTAACTTTCTGTCTCGTTGATCTGTCTAATGTTGACAGTGGTGTGTTAACGTCTCCCATTATTATTGTGTGGGAGTCTAAGTCTCTTTGTAGGTCTCTAAGGACTTGCTTTGTGAATCTGGGTGCTCTTGTATTGGGTGCATATATATTTAGGATAGTTAGCTCTTCTTGTTGAATTGATCCCTTTACCATTATGTAATGGCCTTCTTTGTCTCTTTTGATCTTTGTTGGTTTAAAGTCTGTTTTATCAGAGACTAGGATTGCAACCCCTGCCTTTTTTTGTTTTCCATTTGCTTGGCAGATCTTCCTCCATCCTTTTATTTTGAGCCTATGTGTGTCTCTGCATGTGAGATGGGTTTCCTGAATACAGAACACTGATGGGTCTTGACTCTTTATCCAATTTGCCAGTCTGTGTCTTTTAATTGGAGTATTTAGTCCATTTACATTTAAAGTTAATATTGTTATGTGTGAATTTGATCCTGTCATTATGATATTAGCTGGTTACTTTGCTCATTATTTGATGCAGTTTCTTCCTAGTCTTGATGGGCTTTACATTTTGGCATGATTTTGGAGTGGCTGGTACCAGTTGTTCCTTTCCATGTTTAGTGCTTCCTTCAGGAGCTCTTTTAGGGCAGGCCTGGTGATGACAAAATCTCTGAGCATTTGCTTGTCTGTAAAGGATTTTTTTTCTCCTTCACTTATGAAGCTTAGTTTGGCTGGATATGAAATTCTGGGTTGAAAATTCTTTTCTTTAAGAATGTTGAATATTGGCCCCCACTCTCTTCTGGCTTGTAGAGTTTCTGCTGAGAGAGCTGCTGTTAGTCTGATGGGCTTCTCTTTGTGGGTAACCCGACCTTTCTCTCTGGCTGCCCTTAACATCTTTTCCTTCATTTCAACTTTGGTGAATCTGATAATTATGTGTCTTGGAGGTGCTCTTCTCGAGGAGTATCTTTGTGGCATTCGCTGTATTTCCTGAATCTGAATGTTGGCCTGCCTTGCTAGGTTGGGGAAGTTCTCCTGGATAATATCCTGCAGAGTGTTTTCCAACTTGGTTCCATTCTCCCTGTCACTTTCAGGTACACTAATCAGACGTAGATTTGGTCTTTTCACATAGTCCCATATTTCTTGGAGGCTTTGTTCATTTCCTTTTATACTTTTTTCTCTAAACTTCCCTTCTCACTTCGTTTCATTCATTTGACCTTCCATCACTGATACCCTTTCTTCCAGTTGATCACATCGGCTCCTGAGGCTTCTGCATTCTTCACGTAGTTCTCGAGCCTTGGCTTTCAGCTCCATCAGCTCCTTTAAGCACTTCTCTGTATTGGTTATTCTAGTTACACATTCGTCTAAATTTTTTTCAAAGTTTTCAACTTCTTTGCCTTTGGTTTGAATTTCCTCTTGTAGCTTGGAGTAGTTTGATCGTCTGAAGCCTTCTTCTCTCAACTCATCAAAGTCATTCTCCGTCCAGCTTTGTTCCATTGCTGGTGAGGAACTGTGTTCCTTTGGAGGAGAAGAGGTGCTCTGCTTTTTAGAGTTTCCAGTTTTTCTGCTCTGTTTTCCCCCCATCTTTGTGGTTTTAACTACTTTTGGTCTTTGATGATGGTGATGTACAGATGGGTTTTTGGTGTGGATGTCCTTTCTGTTTGTTAGTTTTCCTTCTAACAGACAGGACTCTCTGCTGCAGGTCTGTTGGAATTTGCTAGAGGTCCACTCCAGACCCTGTTTGCCTGGGTATCAGCAGTGGTGGCTGCAGAACAGCAGATTTTCGTGAACCGCGAATGCTGCTGTCTGATCGTTCCTCTGGAAGTTTTGTCTCAGAGGAGTTCCCGGCCTTGTGAGGTGTCAGTTCTCCCCTACTGGGGGGTGCCTCCCAGTTAGGCTGCTCAGGGGTCAGGGGTCAGGGACCCACTTGAGGAGGCAGTCTGCCCATTCTCAGATCTCCAGCTGCGTGCTGGGAGAACCACTTCTCTCTTCAAAGCTGTCAGACAGGGACATTTAAGTCTGCAGAGGTTACTGCTGTCTCTTTGTTTGTCTGTGTCCTGCCCCCAGAGGTGGGGCCTTCAGAGGCAGGTAGGCCTTCTTGAGCTCTGGTGGGCTCCACCCAGTTCGAGCTTCCTGGCTGCTTTGTTTACCTAAGCAAGCCTGGGCAATGGCAAGTGCCCCTCCCCCAGCCTTGTTGCCATCTTGCAGTTTGATCTCAGAGTGCTGTGCTAGCAATCAGTGAGACTCTGTGGGTGTAGGACCCTCCAAGC
The DNA here is from genome assembly GCF_000001405.40 of Homo sapiens. Taxonomy (NCBI): domain Eukaryota; kingdom Metazoa; phylum Chordata; class Mammalia; order Primates; family Hominidae; genus Homo; species Homo sapiens. The sequence goes on from NT_167250.2 coordinate 222,404, forward strand.
CAGGTGCGGGATATAATCTCCTGGTGCACCGTTTTTTAAGCCCATTGGAAAAGTGCAGTATTCAGGTGGGAGTGACCCAATTTTCCAGGTGCCATCTGTCACCCCTTTCTTTGACTAGGAAAGGGAACTCCCTGACCCCTTGCACTTCCTCAGTGAGGCAATGCCTTGCCCTGCTTCAGCTTACACACAGTGTGCTGCACCCACTGTCCTGTGCCCACTGTCTGTCACTCCTTAGTGAGATGAACCCGGTACCTCAGATGGAAATGCAGAAATCACCCGTCTTCTGTGTCACTCACGCTGGGAGCTGTAGACTGGAGCTGTTCCTATTTGGTCATCTTGGCTCCTCCTCCTAATTCTTGAAGATTTCATTGGCTAAAGTAAAACAAAAATTCTGCTCAAAATGAAGCCAAAATATTTTGAGTATTTGCAAAACAATGTTGATACTATGAGTGGAGTTCTTAATGTTGTTGTGTTCAAATACAATGTGTGAAACATAATGAAGCTCAGTAACTTTCGTGTGTAACTTTTGGATTAGAATAATAAATATCAATATAAGCCCATAAGGTTTTATATTATTTTTATTTTTCTTTTCTTTTTTTTTTATGGCTTGGATGACACTTTATTTTCAGATCCAATACTAGAAGTTGTTTCCATGTTCACATTTTCCTTCCTGGTTTAAAAAAAAGAGTTGTATTTTTTTTTTTTTGCTTTTTTTAAATTATACTTTAAGTTTTAGGGTACATGTGCACAACGTGCAGGTTAGCTACATATGTATACATGTGCCATGTTGGCGTGCTGCATCCAGTAACTCGTCATTTAACATTAGGTATATCTCCAAATGCTATCCTTCCCCCCATTGTATTTTTCATAGCTTAAAAATCATTGACATAGAATAATTCCAGCTAAAGTACGTATTAAATCCCTGGAAAATAAATTTTGTCTTAACAAGGTAAGTTGTGAAAAGATGTTTTGTCACAGGAAAAAGGAAATCCTCCATTTAAAACCCTCCATGCTGAAATAAAGGAGGAGTCCCATCTTTCAGTCATTCCACTTCAGGCTTTTGATATAACTAATCTCTTTTCTTCTTCTTTCCTTTTTTGGCAAGCTTTCGGAAACAAAACAGGCAAAATTTTGTGATGATAAATATCACAGTTGCCACGCAGGCCAGCAGGAATGCTATCACATCCAAAGAGTGGTACTGGATCCAGGTGAGGTTGTGAGCTGCGACTCGAAGGTGCTTGGCTCCTTTGTGGCGCATGACAAACTCAATCCAGAAGACTGCTCGATCCAGGGGCTTCATTGGTTGGTCATGATGAATTCTTGATAATTTCATGACATTCTCTTTATAGCTGAAGGATAAATATAAAGATATCAACATTAAAAGTAAATTTATTGCTTAAGCATATCAAGTCTATGGATGGTCTTTGAAAAGTGTCACACAAATGATTGAAAGTAAGTGTCACTGAATTGGCATGAAATTTCAATGTTTTAATTCATGTCATTACAGAAAGTTTGGTTTTTAAATTGGAGTTTTATCACTGACAAATACCTTTAAAAATGAAAAATGGAATTTTCGGTGGGAAAGTTAATGTTTTCTGGAGCAGAAAATATTATGAGCCATTCTAAGTGCTATAAGTAAGATAGTGGAAATGGAATTTGAGAATGATCTTTTTGATCTTTTTAATTTTTTTTTATTTTTTGAGACAGGCTTTTGCTCCATTACACAGGCTGAGTGCAGTCACATGATCATGGCTCAGTTCAGCCTTTCTCTTTCGGTCTCAAGTAATCCTACATCTCAGTCTCATGAGAAGCTAGGACTACAACTGCACACCACCATGCCTGGCTATATTTTTTTATTTTTTACACTTTTAGATATGAGGTGTTGCTGTAGTGCCCATACTGGTCTGGAACTCCTGTAGTCAAGTCATTCTCCTGCCTCTGCCTCCCAAAGTGTTGGCCCTACAGACATGAACCACTGTGCCCAGCCCATTTTGACGTATTTAAAGAAGAATTGTGACACAACTGGTGAAATGCCTCCTAACTAGTTTCTCAGCTTCTACTCTAATCTTTTGTCTTCTACCATATTTTCCTTCTAGTAGCCAGAATATTTTCCAAATTAATATCAAATTATGACACTCACCTGTTAAGATTTCCATCTGGTTTCTTGTTACATTAAGAATAAATTCCAAATCTGTCTTTGGTCTAGAGAACTCTACACAGGCACCTACTTGTCCTAGCCCTTTCCCCCTGTACACTTTCTTCTAGAGACAATGGCCTTCGGTTTTTCTCTAAACTCCTGAAGGTGTTCTCACCTTAGCCCCTTTACACCTTTTGTTCCCCGTGTCTCTCTCATTGAGCATTCTTTCTTGCAACTACTTGAGGTTTGCTTCTATTTCTTTTTGAGGCTTCCCCTTGTATGATACCTCTTGGAGAGTCTTTTCCTGGCCACACTATAGGCACCCATAGGATTTCTCTAGTGCTTCATGCTTACTTTGCTATTTGATTTCTGGAACTTTAAAATATGTTGTATATCTTCTACAGTAAAACTTCAAGTATGAAATACATAGGATAAATGTATATATACTATGTGACTACCTCAAAATTTTAAGATTATCTTAAACATTATCCCAAAGTGAAGACACCAATTTATCACAAACTGCATAGAAGAACTCTCTCCTCCTGGGCCATTTTAGTCACTATTTTTATCCTCAAAGTAAGTATTAACCTGATTTCTGATATCATAGATTAGTATTGTTTATATAATTGAATTAAATAATACATATTCATTTCTGTTTTTGGTTAGCAGTTGTTTAATAGCATTGGTGTAGAGAGTATTCAGTTGATTGACAAAGACCACAGATGATCTCTTCATTTTGTGATTAATGGATATTTGTGTTGTTAACATTTTTTGACCTTACTAATAATTATGGTATTAAGATATTTGTATATTTTATTAGGTTTAAATATTTATTCATTTTTGTTGGATGTATACTTGGAAGAATAGTTGATGAGAGAAAGGCACATTTATAATTAGAATTTTTTGTTGACTGAATTTTTTAAAAAATATTTTTTATTTTAAAGAATCAGATTGTTTTCAGTTATCGTTTTTGGATGATTTATAATTTATTTCTAGTATGACTAGAACATATAATTTTTATGAATTTGAATCTTATACAATTTACTTAGTGTTTATTTATGGCCCAGCATATGGTAAATTCAGGTAACTATTTCATATAATCTTTTTTTTTTTTTGAGACAGAGTCTCTCTGTCACCCAGGCTTGAGTGCAATGGAGTGATCTTGGCTGACTGCAATTTGCATCTCCTGGGTTCAAGTGATTCTCATGCCTCAATCTCCCAAGTATCTGGGACTACAGGTGCTCATCCCCTACATCTGGCTAAGTTTTGTATTATTAGTGGACACAGGATTTCACCATGTTGGCCAGGCTGGTCTCTTAACTCCTGACCTCATGTGATCCTCCCACTTTGGCTTCCCAAAGTGTCGGGATTACAGGTGTGAGCCACCACACCCGGTCTCCATAAACTCTTTTAAAAATGTTTATTTTCTGTCTACACACACACAACCAGAGATATATGTATGGATACATATATACAGATAAATGTGCAATATATATACACACACACATATATAACACATAGATTACATTTAATTGTGTACTTCAAATGTTTTATCTCCTTAAATAAAATATTTCAAAGATCACTATTTTGTCTTTTCTTTTTGGTCTGCTTAAATTTAATGTGAGTACTGGTAGGTTCACTTTTTTGTTTTTTTGCTTTTTTGTTTTTTTTTGAGATGGAGTCTCGCTCTGTCACCAGGAGTTCAGTGGCACTATCTCGGCTCACTGCAACCTCCGTCTCCCGGGTTCAAGTGATTCTCCTGCCTCAACCTCCTGAGTAGCTGGGACTATAGGTGCACACCACCATGCCCAGATAATTTTTGTATTTTTAGTAGAGACAGGGTTTCACTATGTTGGCCAGGAGTATGGTCTCGATATCTTGACCTCGTGATCTGCCCTCCTCAGCCTCCCAAAGTGCTGGGATTACGGGCGTGAGTCACTGCACCTGGTCAGTTCAAATTTTTTTAAAAAGTTTTATTTTTACTTTAAGTTCCAGTATACATGTGCAGAATGTGCAGGTTTGTTACATACGTATATACGTGCCATGGTGGTTTGCAGCACCGATCAACCTGTCATCTAGATTTTAAGCCCCTCATGTATTAGCTATTTGTCCTGATACTCTCACTCCCCTTCCATCCCCCGGTGTGTGTTGTTCCCCTCCCTGAGTCCATGTATTCTCATTGTTCAACTCCCTCTTATAAGTGAGAACATGTGGTGTTTGGTTTTCTGTTCCTGTGTTAGTTGCTGCGGATAATGGCTTTGCATTTCATCCGTGTCCCTGCAACAGACATGATCTCATTCCTTTTTATGGTGCATAGTATTCCATAGTGTACATGTATCATATTTTCTTTATCCAGTCTATCACTGATGAGCATTTGGGTTGGTTCCATATCTTTGATATTGTAGATAGCGCTGCAATAGACATACATGTGCATGTGTCTTTATAGTAGAATGATTTATATGCCTTTGGGTATATACGAAGTAATGAGATTGCTAGGTCAAATGGTGTTTCTGGTTCTAGGTCTTTGAGGAATCACCACACTGTTTTCCATGATGGTTGAACTAACTTACATTCCCGTCAAAAATGTAAAAAGCTTTCCTATTTCTCCCCAGCTTCACCAGGATCTGTTGTTTTTTGACTTTTTAATCATCGCCATTCTGACTGGCATGAGATTGTATCTCATTGTGGTTTTGATTTGCATTTCTCTAATGATCAGTGATATTGAGCTTTTTTCATAAGTGTGTTGGCTGCATAAATGTCTTTTTTTAAGAAGTGTCTGTTTATATCTTTTGCCCACTTTTTGATGGTGTTGTTTTTTTTTTTTTTTTGTAAATTTGTTTAACTTTCTTGTAGATTCCGGATATTAGACCTTTGTCAGAGGGATAGATTGCAAAAATCTTCCCTCATTCTGTAGGTTGCCTGTTCCCTCTGACGATAGTTTATTTTGCTGTGCAGAAGCTCTTTAGTTTGATTTGACCCCATTTGTCAATTTTGGCTTTTGTTGCAATTGCTTTTGGTGTTTGTGTCATGAAATTTTTGCCCATGCCTATGTCCTGAATGATATTGCCTAGGTTTTCTCCTAGAGTTTTTATGGTTTTGGGTTTTACATTTAAGTCTTTAATCCATCTTGAGTTAATTTTTGTATAAGGTGTAAGGCAGGGGACTAGTTTCCGTTTTCTGCGTATGGCTAGCCGGTTTCTCCAGCACCATTTATTTAATAGGGAATCCTTTCCCCATTGCTTGTTTTTGTCTGGTTTGTCAAAGATCAGATGGTTGTAGATGTGTGGTGTTTTTCTGAGGCCTCTGTTCTGTTCCACTGGTCTATATGTCTGTCTTTGTTCCAGTACTATGCTGGTTTGGTTACTGTAAGGTGTAAGGAAGGAATCCAGTGGCAGTTTTCTCCATATGGCTAGCCAGTTTTTCCAAAACATTTCTTAAATAAGGAATCCTTTCCCCAGTTGCTTGTTTTTGTCAGGTTTGTTAACAATCAGAGGGTTGTAGATGTGTAGTGTTATTTCTGAGGCCTATGTTCTGTTCCATTGGTCTATATATCTGTTTGGTACCAGTACCATTCTGTTTTGGTTATGTAGCCTTGTAGTACAGTTTGAAGTCAGGTAGCATGATGCCTCCAGCTTTGTTCTTTTTGCTTAGGATTGCCTTGGTTATATGGGCTCTTTTTTGTTTCCATATGAAATTTAAAGTAGTTTTTTTCTAATTCTGTGAGGAATGTCAATGGTAGTTTGATGGGAATAGCTTTGAATATATAAAATACTTTGGGCAGCATGGCCATTTTTACAATATTGATTCTTTTTATCCATGAGGATGGAATGTTTTTCCATTTGTTTGTGTCCTGTCTTAATTCCTTCAGCAGTGGTTTCTAGTCCTCCCTGAAGAGGTCCTTCACATCCCTTGTTAGGCATATGCCTAGGTATTTTATTCTCTTTGTTGCAATTGTGAATGGGAATTTATTCATGATTTGGCTCTCTGTCAAATCATGTACTGTCAGTGTATAGTAATGCTTGTGATTTTTGCATATTGATTTTTGTATCCAGAGGCTTTGCTGAAGTTGCTTATCAGCTTAAGGAATTTTGGAGCTGCGACAAAGGGGTTTTCTAACTATAGAATTATGTCATCTGCAAACAGAGACAATTTAACTTCTTCCCTTCCTATTTGAATACCCTTTATTTCTTTCTCTAGTTCACATTTAAATCCAGCATCTTATTCTATATATATATATATTTTAATTTTCTAACCTGTTTTATGTTTCTTTACTTTCTTACTTTTTTTGAAGTATCTTAAATCATTTCTTGTCTTACTAATTTTTTGGTAAAGTGTTTTTAATGTATTCCCTTAGCTGGTACCACCTAACCTCATAATAATATTGGTAGGAGTAATAGACTCTGAATTGATGGTAGCTGGTCTAGGCACAGCATTTTTCATAGTATTTCCTTTGGATTATGGAAAAGTTAAGTATTACATATTTATTTTATCAACATTGAAACCTTTGTATTTCAAAAGGCATCTTCCAAAAAGTAAAAAAAAAAATCTATCTGTCCATAGTGGAAGAAAATATTTGAAAATCACATATTTGATAAGGGATTGTATCTATAATATATAAATAATTCTTATGAATCCATAAGATAAATAGAAAAAGACAAAATATTCACAAGATTAAAATAGAAATTTATCTAAGGAAGATGTGTGAATGACCAGTAAGCACATGAAAAGAGGGTTAACATCTTCAGCCATAAGGAAATGCAAATGAAAACCATAATGAGAGACCACTTTACACACACTAGAATGGCTGTAATAGAAAGACAGGTGATAACAAGTGTTGGGAAGAGTGTGAAGAAATTAGAGCCCTCCTATCCAGCTGGTGGTAATGAAAAATGATGCAAATACTTTGAAAAACAGTTTAGCAGTTCTTCATAAACAACAATTTCCCATATGTCTCAGCAAGTCCACTCCTAGCATCTCCTCAAAAGAAGTAAAAACATATTTTTACACGGAAAATATGTATAACAATGTTCATAAATGCCAAAATTGGAAAGACCTAAAATGTCCATGACCTGATAAATGGGTAATTTTGGTATAAACATATCAAAGAATATTATATAGAAATAAAAATGAATGAGTTCTGATACATCCTACAACATAAATAAAACTAAAACTAATTATGCTAAGTGAAAGAAGTCATTTATGAAACACCATAAATTGTATGATTTCATTTATATAAAATATGTGAAGAGAATAATCTATTGAGAAACAAAGTAAGATGGTATTTTTCTAGGACTAGAGGTTTATTGGGAGTGACTTCATACATTATGAGTTTAATTTGAATTCATTAAAATGTTCTTTAGGGCTGTGGCTTTGTAACTATGTAAACATACTAAATATATTTAGATTTTAAATTTTAGTGAATGTTATGCTATGCAAATTATAATTCATTATCACATTTCTTAAAATAATGATAATAAAAATAAATTTTTGAGAAAGAATAGATTCATACTTTCAGAAATTTTAGGTATTGAATTGAAATATCATATTTCTCTAGTTATGTTCTTTCTTTTCATTGTGCATTCTATCATTAAAAATATTTAAAATAATTATCTACATATCTTTAATTTTTTTGATTTTATAATTCATTGCAGTCATTGGTGACCCATTAAATCTGTGGGGTTGAAATGTAACTTTGAAATAAACTGTCTGGTGGAAAGTAAGGACAGATTTTACATTGGTTAAATCACTTCAATCCCTTCAAAATTAGTCTCTTAAAAACGGGTTAAAATTCATATTCACTGTTGACAAAATAATTTATAAATACCACCTGGTCACAAAACTGTAATACTCACACAGGGTCATTAATGACTGACTTCAATGCATTGAGCAAATCTCTACTTGACATGGTCCTGATGTCCACACTGAGGGCTGCTCCCTTGGCTTTCATGTGAGCAATGTTATCATGTTGATCCGCAAACAAGGGAATGCCCACCATAGGGATCCCATGGTAGATCGCCTCATAGATGCCATTGGTTCCACCATGAGTTATAAAAGCTTTGGTTTTGGGATGACCTAAAAGTGGATGCATTTTAACAAAATTATTAATTACAAGGTATGAGAATTGAATAAGAAATGCACAATATAAGGAACTTAAAGCAAAACTGTTCCCTAGGTAACATTATACCCACAAAACTGCATTGAAATTGTTTTCAAATTTCAGAAGAATTGCCAGGTGAACAAAATGAAAAAGCATATTCTTAATTAAAAAATTAAAATGTGCAAAAAAAAGAATAAGATTGGGTATACAAGAACGTGGTCTTTTAAGTATTATAAATAATGAGGTCACATTTACATATTTAAAAAATATTTAAATACTTAAAATATTTAAAATATTTAATTTTTTTTAAAAGGCAGCAGGGAGTAGGGTGGAGGTGGGGCTGAGGAAGGACCAGTTATGCATCATCATGAAATGTGTTATCATTTTATCATGATAAAGATTGGTTATTTATTCCCATAAAAAGTAGAGTCACTGGTAATAGAAAAGTGTCCGCTATTTTTCAGTGCCTGTTGAAATAACCCTGCAGTAGGGGAAAGAACAGAGGTAAAGCTGCATAAATAGGAGACAGACAGAAAATCCAGGATGTTATTTAAAACCTGTGAGAGGAAATTACACCTGAACAAAGAGATTTTTATTCTGACCATAAAGAATGTGACTGTATGTAATAAAATGCCAACTACTATAGTGCATTCTTTTTATACTAAGACTGGAAAATAAATATAAAGTAGTTAAATTTGATTTGTTTTTTAGTTTTCCAATAATAAATGCTAAATATGTTTGTTTTATGTTGAACTATTATCACTCCAATTTGCTGTTACTAATATATTCACTGTTTGTTCTCCAGAATCTTACCAAGAAGGTCATTCTGGGGTAACCACTTGTACAGTCGAGTATTGGAACCTAAAGTATTTGGCTTCTTGCCATCAAATCTCCATAGAACCTGTTAGGGCAAGGAAAATATCTTGTTCAATGAATAGAACTCTAAAAACATAGCATGTTAGAATTCTGAAGAGATTAATAATCAGTTAGTTAATCCATATAAAAGATGAAGAAATAAGAAGAAGTGATGTCAAGTAATGAGAACTACTAAAAGTTTGAGGTAAGTTGAATACCCACGTTTAATGTCGTTACTTTTATAATCAATTTTGTATATAAAGAAATAATGACATTTCTAACATAATAGCTAGACACATGAGATTGTGAAAGGAAAATAAATCTTGGCAACCCAAACTCTATGCTAAAGGGAAAAGTTAAGCTGCTTAGGGCAAACCTACCTCCCATTCTATTCAAAGTCAGCCCTTGACTCACTGAGATAAATGAATATCAAATTGCCTCATTTCGAGAGGCTAATCAGAAACTCAAAGGAATTCAGCTATTTGTCTCTCATCTACCTATGACCTGGAAGCCCCTTCCATGCTTCAAGTTGCTCTGCCTTTGTTTCTAGCTGTCCCCCATTTCTGGACCGAACAAATGTTCATCTTATATATGTTGATTGATGTCTCATGTATCCCTAAAATGTATAAAACCAAACTGTCCCCCCACCACCTTGGACACATGTCATCAGGACCTCCTGAGGCTGTGTCATGGGTGCACATTTTCAACCTTGGCAAAATAAACTTTCTAAATTATCTGAGAACTGTCTCATATATTCAGGGTTCATATTTTGGTAACCATGAAGAGATTCTGAGTGGAGGTTCCCTGACCTTTGATAAATGTCCTATCAGTGCTTGGTACCAGCATGAGCTAAATTTATGGCTCAAACAAAGAAGACAATTGGCTGAGGTCTGGGAGCAACCCCTCCAGAGAATCTCTGATACCCCAAAATTCAGACAAGATCTGAAGTTTATTTTGCTGTACAACTCCTTTTTGTTTTTTTTGGAGTTTTACTTGCTTCCTACAAGAAAGGCAAGATTTCCTGTTTCCATGACAATGGAAGGCAGGTAACTCTATGGAGTTTGAGCTCGCTCCCAGGAGGGAGGATGAATTTGAGGTTTCTTTCCTGATTCTAGGATGGCAGAGGGCAGTTTTGGCCTGAAACCCATCCGTAGGTAAACAGCTGAATTGCGGTTTTGTCTTGGTTAATGTTTAACAACTAGCTGGACTTAATTTCTCCTTACCATTACAGTGCTTAGTGATCACATTTCTGGGATTTTTTTTTTTTTTGTACATTCCAGTATTTCTCCCATCAGATTTGATGAACTTTACCTGACTTGATCAAATCTGAGTGAGAATTCCAAATTGTGGGTAACAAAGCCTGTCTAATTTGGCTAAAATTCTTTGCAGACGCAAAAGAGAAAACAAAACAAAACAAAACAAAACCTAAAAACCATGCTCTTGGTTTCTGTGTTTGCTTCCTGTCTTTAAAAAAACAAATGTTCTTTTGTTTACTTTTCCTCCACCCTATACCTCCTTTTGCCTTTTGCCATTTGCAGTATGAAAAATCTAGAGAAGGCTTCTAATGACTTGAACTCTTTTAAAGAATTCAGAACAAAGGCACCACTCACCCCTTTAGGGGTGTCTGTTTTCTTTGTGGAGTTCCAAGAGTTGTGGGCAGATTTTTTTCTCAGTCCAAAGCTCTGTTTTCCTATGTTGAATGACCTGATCTCTTTGGCTTTGAGATTACCACAGATTACCTTGTACTGTGAGAGGATTTTACCTTGGCATGTGTAATGGCAGACGAGTTACAAAGTAGGGGGTGGCTGAGTACAGTTTACTGGAAGTAGTATTGACTGTTGCTATTTTTTTCCTCCTAGGAAGTTGTTGTTTAAGAATCCTAATTCTAGTTTGGAGATGTGTTGTAAAGGGTCTCCTCTATTGTTTTTATTCCCCAAATTAATCTCATTTGGCTTGTCTGTGTGGATTTGTGTGAGAAACTGAACTGTGGTTTACATAGGAAAATGAGAGACTGAGTTTTCTCAGCTCCAAAGTGAAAGGGCATCTGCTCCTCCCAGGCAAAAGGCACCCCTAAGCAACTGGGGGCCTTGTGGGAGTGTCTTGGGGTTGACCCCCTGTGACATGGAGTGGCCCTGCAGGGAAATCCCCAAGAAAAATTAACTTTTAAAAAAAGGCTAGTCCAGGAAACACATATGAGGGCAGATCACCCAGCATTTTGAGCCCTCTCAGAGGTCATACACCTCTGGAGAGAGAAACTGAGACATGTAAGAGGGTGGAAACAACTCAGTGGTGACACACTGTGGAGTACTGCCCACAAGCAGCACACATTGATTCACCACACATAAACCCTAGGCCACAGCTCAGTTCCTCCTTTTAGGAAAAAAAGTGGGAAACAAATAATCTAAGAATGATGAGAAAACAAGAAGAATGACCCCCTGATATCACTTGGTAGGTTTTATGACACCTCTACTTGGCAGAGTTTATGTAAAATGAAGGTAATACGGTCTTTGTGCACATATACATTAAGAACCCTAGGTTGTCCTGCAAGCTATAGAGTTCCTAAGTTCTCTCTTTTTAAAAAAAATTCTTTTCTTCTTGCTTTAAATTTGCTTTTATTTTTCTATTAAGATAAAAACCACACTATGGATTCAACAGGTTTTTGTCTGCAAGCTGGTCAATTTTTTTTATCTCATGGCTAAAGTTCTGAAGTAAAAGCCATAGAATCTTTTGTGTGTGTGTACATGTGTTTGCATATATTTAAAAGGCCATTATAATTTCTATAATTTTATGTTTAATAGGCAATTGAATCCATTTTATTTTCCTTCCAGCACACCAAATTTTTTGTCTCTGTACCTTATGATGTAAATTTTGCTATTTAATTTTCACTTGGTTTCTTTTAATATGCAAATGTAAGACTATTTAGCTTACAACTGCCTATGGTGATCAAGTATTCATACAGATTACCTATTGAAACAGGTTATCAAGAATTTGGAAGTCTAATATGGCAAAATGTAGTTTTCATAAATCTATAAGATGTACTTCTATTGGCATGCTTAATGTGTGTATGTATTTATGTGTTTTGTACACAATGTTTTATTACTGAAAATATATAAAAGAGCTCTAATTAATTGGCTTAAGAAAATAAAAGTGCTTGAATTAAATACTTTGCCAGAAAAAAAAGACTAGTCAAATGCTTTTTCAAGTTTATGTAACTTCAATAAAATCTTTTATAAATAAGATAACTTTACAATTATTGCTAAAGTATGATAATATTAGAAATGTCTTAAGAATTTCCAGCATATATTTTTGTTTGCATTTATTAATCAAACAATTTCATACTTATTGTTGCCAAATACTTTAAGGTGTCAAAATTTGACATAAGGGTTACAAAACTGTAAACCAAGCACAAAACAGAATGATCTTTGCTTGTGTAATTTTTTAATAAATAAGACATTGATATTGGTTTAATGAAAATAGCCACATCTTGAATTAAGTAAGATTATCATAACTTCTAACCCTGTGGCCTTAAGCAATCTAGTCCACAGGCAGTAAGGTTTGTTTTGGGAAAAAACTGTTATCATTTTTATTTCAAAGCTAAACCATAAAGGGTGTGAAATGGCAACACTATCCTTCAACTCATTTTCAACTCATATAAGTTTTTTTCCTCAAGTTCTGTTTGTTGTGGCATAATGCTAACAGTGCTTTCTAAAAGCTATTCAGCTCCTCAAGGTCCAGGGACTATCACAGAAGAGGTGGGTGTGTGAGATTTTAAGAACTGATACTGAGAGATAAGTTAGTTTATTTACAAATTAATCATTAATGTCAAAGACACACTAATGCAAGACCAACATATGGGCCCCTGTGTCAGATTAACAAGGTTTTCTGGAAGCATAAACTGACTTCTTAATAAAGATTATAAAGGTTATGAAAGGCTGAGGAAAGTTATATCTTATGGTCAAGATTAGAATTTTATAGATTGTTCATAAAATTTTGAAAAACAAAGTTATTTGGCTTCATGCTATTTTATTAGGGCTTATTGTTTGGCAAATTGAGTCTCCTCTCTCAAAGAATGAAGATTTTTGCCTTTTTTTGAAATCCTTGAGTTACCACATTAGTCAAATGAATGATTTATCTTACCTGTGATATTAAGTGTTTTAAACCTTTGATATTTGAGAAATTTTCCAAACAAATTATAAATTATGATTTTTTCTGACCTAAGTAATCCTTTAATTTATTAGTTTCCCTAACATCCAAAAATGACATAATTTGGTTTATTTTGTATAAAAATTATACAGGAAACATTGTCAAATATGAAATGGTGTTTGGTCTTTTTGAGCTGTATTTATATAAGTATGTTATTGTTATGTGTTCCAAAATTATGGGAAACTCCTATAATTCTGATATGACTTAGTGTGTACGTTATCAGTAACAATTATATGTGTTAAGTTATTGTGTGCCACAGAGGTAACAAATTTCCTTGTCCATTGTGTCTTTGACTGAGTCTGCCCTAAAACTTTTTGTCCTCCACAGACAATTGTTGTCTTACTTTGGTCCTCTTTAGAAGGCGATTTTATACTCAGCCATAAAATTCTAACAGGTGCTCTTGAAAAAAAGTTTTTGATAATTTTGGAGATTGTGACATTAGAATGGAAGAAAAACTTTCAGGACTCATGGAGAACTAAAATGTTCATGAGTATCAAGCAGAACAGGAATTAACTACATGGACTGAAATAATAAAAAACTAAAGTAATCTTTTAGACTTTGCTTAAAACATTGCTGATCCTTTGTTTTGTTTTTTTTTCAGAGTGAAGGAATCTTTTTTTTTTTGAGCTATTAACAGCTTTTAACAATTTAGTATACTCCTATGAAAAAAATTTAGAACATATTTGTTTCCCTCTACCTGATTTTTCAGAATTTGGAAACTATTTGTGAGTATTTTTTACTTTTGTCAATACAGTTATTTGCATAAGTGCAATAAGAATCTATTTTCATTTTTAACAAAACACAATTGGAGAAACTGGTTATTTTATCAAGGCTTCCACTGGTATGGTGGGCTTTCCTTTAGGGAATCAAACTTAACTTATGGAGCCAATAAAACCCCTTGGGAAAACTGGCCTCATACCTTCATCTATAAGGTCCCTGTACAGGGTTCCTGAACTGTGTTAAGCAAAGAATGTAACTTTCTGACAGGCCCAGGAACCCCAAGTTTATTTTGGAACCCCAAGAGGAGAGGAATTCACCCAACTCGTAGGTATTTGATGGTAGAAATCTATGGCTTTCCTCAGCTTTAAAAAAGTCCTATCTGAGATTCTTTCTATAAGACAAAGTTCCATCAAAGCCACTTTAAAAGCCTATGTAAATAAAAAATTATTCTTCCTCCTCTGTATACAATAATCAGGCCAAGTATAATAAAGCAAATCAGTTGTACCATGGTTTGTCTTTAGTAAAATTGGGAAACTGAAGACAGAAAAATTATGTTTCAAAAATAACAGTATACCTGTTGTTAGATTCTAGTCTTGCCTAATGTTTTTCAACTTTTATTACTGTCTACAGTTTGGACTGAATTCTAATTTTTCATGGCTACACGTCTTCAAAATAGTGTCTTCAGGTTTTTTTTCCTCCCTTTCCACCATTTTTCCTAGTTTGGAGTCACTGTAAACTAAGTCATGCTTTCATAAAGCCCTACAAATTAAGCTAGACAACTTAAACTTCAGAAGAAAATAACAGCAGCCAATTTACATACATAATCCACTTTCTTACCTGCCTACTGATTTATGGACTTCAGAGTAATGGGCCTATATTAATTTTCAAGGATTTTTCTTTTGTTTGGTTTTGTTTTTCTCCCTTTCTCCCTTTATTTTGTCTTCATAGGACATGAGACTTCACAACCTACTAAAAATGAACTTTCCTAATAACTCAGGACCTGCTTAGGAATAAACCTTCCTTGCCATTAGAGATCAGATGAAAACCTGAGACCAGAGACTCATTTTCTTCTAAAATGCTTTCTCCAAAAGATTTTTTTTAAATGTAAAAGGAAAATAAGCCTGGGGGCCCCAAAGTCACTAAGCAAATCACTGCCTCCCATTCTATTCAAAGTCACCCCTCTGCTCACTGGGATAAATGCATATCTGATTGCCTCCTTGGAGAGGCTAATCAGAAAGTCAAAGGAATGCCTCCTCCCTGCTTCAAGTTGGCAAAAATAAACTTTCTAAATGTACTGAGACCTGTATCAGATATTTGGGGTTCACAAGATTATCAATGAAATATTCAAATATTTAAGAATTGTTAGGCAGTCTTAATTCTAGTAATAAAAAAGTAGCAAATTAGTAATAACCTATATATTTATTTTATATACTTTATACTAGCTGTAACCTTCCAAATTTAATATAAATTTATTAATTTTTGAGTGATATGAGAAGAGTTTACTTATATCCACTTGTCTACTAGTCATAAGTTATTTTATGAATTTGACATCATTGATTACAAAAGACTAAATATTTAAACTGCACATATGGTGAGAAATAATGCTACATATGTAGTATGTGTAATTTCTTTTCATTTGCTAACTATCAAGTGCTACTTTCAGGAAAAATTTCAAGTGGCAGTGTTTGACACAAATTCAGACTATTATCAGTATTGCTACTTTTGTAAATGCTAACAATGTAGGAAAAAGGAGCCCATTGACAATTCATGATTAACAATACAGATGCTGAAAATGTAGAAAATTGTATTTTGCTGCATTTTGCTTAACTGATCTTTCACACTTAGATGATGCACTACCTAGCATTGACAGCCTTGATATATGGTCAGCTATAGCCAGTCATTACCATGTCTAGTACCAAACTAAGGTACTGATTTTAGAATTCCCAAGCAATCTTTATAAACTGGAGTAGAATTTACAAGTGTTGACCTTGTATTTGATATGGGAGTGTTAAAGTAACTCTGTGTTTTCAGCAAAAACTTGCATAGATCATTCAGAGAGGGCTATGTCAGATAAGAAACTAAAACGTAAATTGAAAATACACAAAGATTGTATAGATTAGAAAATAAGTTCCTACCATGTTTATTTATATTTTCTGCTCCTTCCTCAATCTGGAGAAGGCACTAATCTGATTCTTAGAGCATAGTCTTTGTTGGGCCACATTTAATAATGCACATAGTCTACCCTAAAAGCAGGATTCTATCTCCATCCTTTCCATTACATTTTTCTGCTTAAGACATTAGTGGCACCCAAGTCAGCAGAGCAGACAAGTTTTTTTTTTTTTTCTCTAAATCTACTTGGCTAGGTGGGTACCTCCAGAGCAGTGGCTAGTCAGACTAGGACATTCTTTCTCTGAATGGCACCCTGAACAGAACGCTAAATAGACCTATTCCAATGCATGGGAAGTAAAAACAGCCAGATTGCTTGGTAAGACGAAGCTGCATGATGCATTTCAAAGTTTTTTCAATACCTGCTTATTGTTATTGTGATAGTACAGTAACTTATTAAAATTTAACTGCTTTTTGATAATATCTACAGTGTATACAGTACCTTCTAAAATCCTGTAAACCAAAAGGAGCAAATGACAGGGCAGAATTTAGTGATTTCTATGTACATGCTACGATACCATGATAATACCAAACTTCACTAGCACCTCTTAAATATATTTCCTTCTGATCACAATATTAATGCCAACGTTATTATCAACCAAAACTCCTCTCTTTATGATTTTAAGATCTTCCATATATGTTTTTGCTTTGAACAGATGTCTGAGATAATTAGAACTATCATAGCAGTTAAATTTTCAGGCAGAACATTTCTGTAATGGACTCTTGAAGAGTTTAACAGATTCATTTAGTAGCCATCCACAGTTAAGGCACTTTATCTAACCTTTTGTGGGATCTGGGCAAGGGCTGATGCAATCATGTTGGCACTTTCTTCTGACATGTTACTGATCATCGACCCCAGAGAAAACACCACAATACCATTTTCTCCAGAGCTCTGCACAAACTCTTCCATTTCCTGTGAAGAAAGAATTTGTTCTATCAGAAAAGAGCAACAGCACAGAAAACACTATTGACAGGATTGTTACAAACATCTAAGATGAGAAAGTCAGGAGCTATTGGAGTAATTTTTTTAAACTGACCTAATCATTCAGTTTCTTTGAAAGGAGATGTGTAATATAATATATGTGGGATCTTTCATGCAAATTTGTGTAAATATGTGTGCATATGCATGTATGTATGTGTGTGTAAGGAGGAAATGAAACAAAGCTATGACACTGCAGTAGGAGGAGATAATGCTAGAAAATGTTACACCCAGACACTTTATTTATAATATTATAATTACTAACATAGGTTATTGGAAGGTAGCTTTACTTGGCTTCAATTCTAATTTTTTTTGTGGTTCTACTAAATCTCTTGTGTTTATTTGGAGTAGTTTTATTTTATTTTATTTTTTTCTGTTCAGTTCTTTTAGTTAGGAGTCATTGGAGCCATTACATGACTATGAGCAATGAGGAAAAGTTAGTTACAATTGGAATGATATTATATCTACATTTATTTAGCTTCTAGCTCTCTAACCCTTTATATTTCACTTAAAGTTAGGGTTTCCTAGTCTTACCCCACTACCCCTCACTGCCCCCGACACCCCCACCCCCCAAAAACACCTTAAAAGCTGAAGTATAAGAATCACTGACATTCAGCAGTCTGGTATTGTGGTTTGGAATTTCTGGGAAATAGTTCTGAGAATTCCATTTATAATACAGTATTATATACTATATAGTTACATAATTAAGTGATCTTATTTCTCAGGTCATTGCTTAGGTATGACTATGACACCTTTTGTCCTGAAATCACACTGTGAATTTGATGTGCTATGTATAACTGAATGTGGGGGACCCTCATCATCACTTTGCTGTGTCTCACAGGGGGCACTTGAACCACAGTGGGAGAGGTCACCAGGACTTTCTCCAGTGGAGATCTGCTCACCCCCTAGAGTAGCTCCCTCACACTATATGAAGCTCCTGGTGAATATGTGTTTGCTTTGAAATGAATGAGAATTATTCTGACTTGTGTTTCCTGATGTGTCCCTGTTTTTAAACTTAAATCCATTCTCTAATGCCACATCGCTCAATGTATTCTCACACCAAAAAAAAAAAAAAGAGAGAGAGAAAGAGGAAAAGAAATGTAGACCCATAAGTTTCCTGGATATCATATCAAAATTGTATACTCATCTTTTTGTTGCTGTTGTCCCTTTTGTTCTAAATTCTCTTTTTCTCAGTAAAATAATGACCAACCCCTTCTGTCATAACAAATATACTTTCTGGTCCTAATCATTGGGGGAAATTTCTTTATAAAACTGTTTACAAATAAAAAAAGAAATTCTAAAATATGTCAATTCAGACCATATATTGGTAAGTATTTTTAAAAAATATAATTTAACTTTATGACATCTTTTTTTTTTTTCCAGATGGAGTCTTTCTCTGTCACCCAGGCTGGAGTGCAATGATGCAATCTTGGCTCATTGCAACCTCTGCCTCCCAGGTTCAAGCAATTCTCCTGCCTCAGTCTCCTGAGTAGCTGGGATTACAGGCACCTGCCACCACGCCTGGCTAATTTTTCTGTTTTTAGTAGAGACAGGTTTCACCATCTTGGCCAGAGTGGTCTTGACCTCCTGACCTTGTGATCCACCCGCCTCAGCCTCCCGATGTGCTGGGATTACAGGCATGAGCCACTGTGCCTGGCCTGACATCAGTTTTAATTGGAGATTCAGTGTATGGCTATTAGAGATAATTCATGAGGCATCCAGGAACTCAGTGTAATTGCAGTTGCCTGTAGCCACATTTAATGTAACTTGAGTTCAATGTTTTGTCTCATTCACTGCCAAAAGTCTGCTTCACCCACCCAGTATTGAAGTAATAAAACATCTATTTATAGACAGATCAGCACTGATCTCATTCTGTGATGTCTTTATGAAAGTAATGGTAATAGAAGATCAATGTAAGTAGTTTTATAAAAGTATGAAAATTTAGAAAAAGAAAATCATTTACCCATATCTCTATCTCAATTTAAAATGTGTACCATTTCATTATGGGTTTAATTCTATTTATATAACTCAATGTACATATGTGATGTTTATTTAGAAAATTTTATTCTCATTGTATATGCCTTTTTATTCTACAAAAAAACTGTGATCTTGTTCTACTCATCATTTTGTTCCTTAGTTTCCAACTATACCTGTACCACGGCTGACAGTGTAATTAAACATTGTTTTGAAAAAAGGATTGTAATGGCTTGGTATGCACATTATGTAAGTTTTTAACCATTTCTTAATGTAAGATATTTGAATTATTTCCAGAGTTTTTTTAATGAGTATTTGCTACCGATATTGAATCTTACCATCATGATTTATTCTCTGTACAGTTTCATGTGAGTATATTATAAAGGCAATGCCTATATGCATTTTTCAAACACTTGATACTTTTTGGCAAGAGTCTTATTCTTTTGAAATATACAAACATTATCTGAGAATCTAATACATAATGGAAAAGCAAGCAAATTTGTGGCAACAATTATTTTGTGTACAAAAGAATTAGAGAATCAGTTTCACAATTATTTACTTGGATTCAAGTCTACCTTCTGCAAGTTAACAACAACGGAGGCTCACACTTGTAATCCCAGCACTTTGGGAGGCTGAGGCATGTGGATCACCTGAGGTCAGGAGTTCAAGACCAGCCTGGCCAACATGGTGAAACTCTGTCTCTACTAAAAACACAAAGATTAGTCAGATGTGTTGGCAGGTGCCTGTAATCCCAGCTACTCGGGAGGCTGAGGCAGGAGAATCAGATCGCTTGAACCTGGGGGGTGGAGGTTTCAGTGAGCCGAGATCATGCTAGTATCAGTAATAATCACTATTGTACTACTAGTCATTTATCCCTTGTCCTTATTCTGCTACTCTCTTCCCCCTGCTACTGGCACTATCACTTTCTTTTAATGTGAGTGAGGAATTTTTTTTTGAGAATAAGATAAGAGTACACAGAATTACCTTTTAAGCTAGAATATTAATGAAGAGCCTCCACCTTTACAATACAACTTTAGCTTTCCAGCTTGTTCAACTGACTGCCCAAACTTAAACATTTACATTTAAACAAGTACACAGAGTATCTGTTCTCTAGGACTTTGCTAGAGAATATAATCTTGATGTGTTGGAAAATCAATCACTATTAAATGAAGACTGATATCTTAAATGGCTGGCACATGTTAGCTAATTTAAAGTATTAAAAATAATGACTAAAATAATCATAATATCAACAATATTTTTGGATCACTGGCTGTGTGTCAGAGACAACTTAAGTGTTTTATCTGTGGTAACTACTTTTTTTCCACACAGCACAATATGAAGTTGTGATTATTATTATAAAAGTAGTCATGATTGCTTAAACTCATGTAAAAGTTCCTAAATGATCTTTACATTTTACAAACTTGCCTTTTTGCAATATTATACATTGGGAATATTGGGATTTTTTAAAAGGAAATCTGATCATATCTCTTCATTTCTTAACTCTTTTCACTCTTTTCAGTAGCTCTCCATTGTCCCTATGGGTATATCAAATTACATATATATATATATATATTTTTTTTTTTTTTGAGACAGATTCTCACTCTGTTGCCCAGGCTGGAGTGCAATAGCGTGATCTCGGCTCTCTGCAACCTCTGCCTCCGGGGTTCAAGTGATTCTCCTGCCTCAGCTTCCCAAGTAGCTGCTATTACAGTCACCTGCCAACATGCCTGGCTAACTTTTGCATTTTTAGTAGAGACGGGGTTTCACCATGCTGGCCACTCTGGTCTCCAACTCCTGACCTCAGGTGATCCACCTGCCTTGGCCTCCCAAAGTGCTGGGATTACAGGTGTAAGCCACCACGCCCGGCCCATCATTGACTTTTACTCAACCTTTTCCTGTAAATTAAATTTGGAGTTCCTGGGAACTGCCCTTATTGCTTTTCTACTTTTCTGCCTTAATGCAAGCCTTTACTTTTTTTTTTTTTGTTTATTTGTTTGTTTTTGAGACAGAGTCTCGCTCTGTCGCACAGGCTAGAGTTCAGTGGTGTGGTCTCAGCTCACTGCAGCCTCTGCTCCCAGACTCAAGCAAGCCTCCTGCCTCAGCCTCTTAAGTAGCTACGACTATGAGACTACAGGCACACACCAGCATGCCTGGCTATTATTTTATTTTTTATTTTTGTTAGAGATGAGGTTTTACCACGTTTCCCAGGCTGGTCTCAAACTCCTGAGCCCAAGCAATCATGCCTTCTCTGCCTCCCAAAGTGCAGGGATTATAGGTGTGAGCCACCTTGCCTGGCCTCTGGTTTTCTTTTTGGGTGTTTCTCATCCCCTCATCGTTTCACCTATCTCTGCACATTATTGAGTACTCACTTTAATTGTCAATGAGTTTGGGATCTCTTCTGCATATTTCTTTATCATTGTGGTCTTTCCTTATAACACTTTTTAGACTTTTCTTTTTCATTGTTTTTATTCTATCTTTCAAAGTACAATGTAAGGCATGAGGGAGCAGAAACTGTGCTACCTTTATTCTCTGAAAATCCAGCACTTACCTGTGGTTTGTATTAATCACTCTACAAATATTTTTTGAAGAAATGAATCATACTATCTTTTGGGTGGCACAATGAAGGCCTTACTTTAACCAACCCTGTTTTCAAAATCTCCCTAGTAAACCTCTTTGGTCTTTAATGATAATAACATTCACATACTTGTGATACTACAGAAATATATGATTTTCTAATGGCAAGTCCTTGTTTTTGACCTCCCATATTCCCCTCACTCTGAGTTAAACACTCTGAAAGAAACATATCCAGCCATTCCTTCTGAAAATGTCAAGCAAACAAATGAAACAAGAACACATTTACCTTAGGCAGGGGTTTGGCTGGTTTACAGTGAAGTCCTCCAACAAAATCAACATTTGGTAAGAATGGGCGAGGAAATTCAAAATCCCAATAGGTTCGAATGAGCCACATTTCAGCTTTCCCCATTGTCTCAAATAATGTAGTGGGTCTTCCTGATGGAAAAAAACAAAACAAAACAAAAGGTAGCTAACACGAGAATTGTTATTTGAATATGCAGGTATTTTCCTGAAAGGACTTGGAATAACATACCCAAACATATATAAAATGTCTGTGCATTGATAAAATATATATAAATACATTTATATATAGTCATAATTTAGATTTTATTTATTGCATATGTTGCTCATATGTATATATAAGGAAGGCAATGTATTCAGAGATCTGTAAGAAGAAATCACATCTTTAATGTAACATCAGTATATTCACAATCATAAATAATTATTAAAATAAGTCACTAATATGGTTTGACTGTCCCCACCCAAATCTCCTCTCATCTTGAATTATAATCCCCATAATCCCCATGTGTCCAGGGAGGGACCCAGTGGCAGGTGATTGGATCATGGTGTGGATTCCTCCATGCTGTTCTCATGATATTGAGTGAGCTCTCATGAGATCTGATAGTTTTATAAGTGTCTGGTATTTCCCCTGCTTGCACTTCTCTCTCCTGCCACTAAGTGAGAAGATCCAAGCTTGCTTCCCCTTAGCCTTTCACCATGATTCTAAGTTTCTTGAGGCATCCCAGTCATGTAGAACTGAGTCTATTAAACTTCTTTTCTTTATAAATTACCCAGTCTCAGGTATTTCTTTACAGCAGTGTGAGAATGGACTAATGTAGCCACTATGAACTTAAATACACATTTGTCTTCCCTCTGAAGCTGCAATAGTAACAAATATACCTTTAAACAACTCTTTCAGTTCCACAATTAATTCATCTTACCTTACCCATGAAAACAGCTTTCCAGGAAGTACTCTAGTGTCTACAGTTTATTAAGCTAGTCCCTTGATCCTTGGTTCTCAAAGTAAACCATGAGTTTTTTGAGCTCAACACTGAAATCTTTACACCTACTACTGTCTTGGTTCATCTTAAGATCTTAATATAATTAGATTTTTAAAATAAATATATTTACAAATGAGAATTAAAACATTTTCAGAATTTATTGACATAGAGATATGTGCTCTCCCTTAATTTGGCCCCTATTTTCTTTGATGGAGAGATGCAGTTTAATAAAATATAGATTAAAACTTAGATGTTCACTTTCAACAAGATTTCAGTTTTTGAAAGAAATAATTGTCAACCTGTTATTGAAGGAATGTATAAACATTAGAAATCTCAAGTTTTAGGCTTCTGTTTCTGGAGTAGAGCCACTATATTACTCAACTGTGAAGGAATCCTTCTTACATGAAAAACAAAATTTAATTTCTAAATGAGGAAACTGAGGAACTCAAAGAGAAACAAATTCCTCAATCCTGCATTGATAATTTTTCTAGAAATATGTGTAAATACTAAATTTACGTGTCTGCCTTCATGAAGATGTTTCTTGAGGTATCTATTGACTTTTTTTAAAGATGAAAAAATGTATAGCAAAATGATATGTGATAGTTTAAAGAAATCATTAGTGCTTTACAATGAAGGTTTATGACTCTCTGGGTGTCCTGTAGTAGTGATGGCCCCAGGGTTCTAACTGATTCTATAAGGTCAACATTCTATAATATTTTTGAGACTGATAGATCATCTTACATTTGCAATTCATAATTTCCCTTAAAAACACTATCTTCTGACATTATATTTATATAAGCTCACCTTCAAAGGCACAGAAAAGTTAGAACTTAATAAGCACCAGTTAGACACATGACTTACCTAGAACTTCACTATAAAACTGGTCCCACTTCTTCAGATCATAAATTTGAAACCAAAAGTCAAAATAAAGCATATGTATCATATTTTTTATCCTCTCCATGAAAATCATTTGATCACTTAATTCTGACATAACAACAGGTACATAGGAAGGAGGGAACAGAAATCCTCCACCATTCTTCTCAAATGTGTAGCCAACAGAGAATCGAAGACTGTACAGAAAGGGTATGTTAAATAGTTCAGCCAGTAGCTCACCACAGGGATTAAGGGCATCTGCCAGAATGACATCAAACTTTGACTCTTGTAGTTTCATCATAAGTTTCTTATTCAAAACTGCATCTTTACAGAGCTTGTTACTGTAGTCATAATATTCCCAACACAATTCTTGTAATTGTGAAAAATATGACCAAAATGTATTTTTTGAAACACCATATATCCATCTATCGAGAATTTTCAGAAGAGAATCTTCCAAATCATTTTTAGTTAAAGATGTAGGATAAACTTCTAATTTAATAGCAGATGATTTACTGGCATTGACAAGAGTAGAAGCCGAAGATGTCAACACAGTCACCTCATGACCCCTCTGAACAAGCTCTTCCAGGATTGTCTTCATATTTATCCAATGGCTGTATTCTGTGGGCCACACTAGCACCTTTCCACAGCTTCCAGAGCTAAAGTAACAACTGAGCTGTATCAGCAGAAAGACTGACGTCCATTTCAGAGACATCCTGGTCTTATGCAATGCTTCTTTTCCAGTTGTTGTTTCTTTCTGTCATTTCTCATACTTATATCTGAGGAAAAATCAATCAAGTTAAAATATAACTGCTAAAATTTGAAGTAAATACATAATACTAACAGTCTGAATAGGTGCATGCCAAGGAGACCAACAAAAGATTGATGACCTCATATTTATTTTAGTGTGTTTGGTGTTCTTTTATGTTTACAATTACTCTAGTCAAGCAATAATTTTTATGACCTAGAATATGTAAGTAACCTGTCTTATGTAATTATTTTATAATACTGTTAAGAACAGTGGCAAGTGAGAGGCTCCTGCCTGTTCGGTGCCCTTGACATAGAGAGAAGAAGTAATTATACAACTCAAACGGCATTTTTTAATATCGTGGTGCAAGTAATGTCTTCTAAAACTTTGTTGACACATAATTCATATGCCATATGACTCACCAATTAGTGTGTACAGTTCAATGTTTCCTAGTATATTCACAGAATTTTACTTTCACTACAATAATCAGTATTATCTCCAAAAGATTCTATACAATAGCCTCTAACCCCCCACTCTGAAATTTTGCATCCATCCTACCCTAGGCAACCACTAATCTAATTTCTATCTCTATAGATTAGCATTTTCTGGACCCTTTAAAAAATAAATGAGGGTTTTCCAGTGATCATGGCAGATGGGATGCAGGACTAGATTGCAGCTCCAGACAGAGCAGCATGCAGAGGCTTGCATTGTGAATTTTAGCTGCAGATCAACTGCAAGAACAGACCAGCAATTCTGAGAGGATCCACACACCCTCTGCAGGAAGCGTACTGCTCCTGCAGGACCTGGGAGACATCCCAAACACTGTGAGTGCCCCAACAATGGAAGTGGGAAAGGGTGATCCCCCTCTCCAGAATACACATCCCCACTGGAGAAGCTGAAGTTCTGTTGGCAGGAGAAGTTCCTGACTTTATGTGAAGCTGAGTCAAATTAGAGAACCAAGCCAAGCAAAATACAGGGGTAGAGGAAGTAGCAGAAAGGCACTGGGAGCTCTCTGGATACCCAAGCGGCTCATTCCTGCCTGGCATCACAGGGATCTATCAGGAGGGTGGCCAGTGATGCAGGGGGTTCAAAGATTCTCCTCAGGGCCTGAAGGCTTGAAGGGATGAGTAACTCCTCCCTTCTCAGGCCCAGCCCCAAGATGCAAGACCACTTGCATCAGCAGCGTGTGTCAGCAAGATAGCAGAAGCAGGAAGAGAGCCGGCCAGAAGACACTTACCCTGGCTGGAAGAGATGTACCCCTGAAGATCAAGAAATAGGCCATCCAGGTACTACATAGCAGTCACAACAGACTGGGACACTTACTGTTTACAGAGGACTACAAAACCCCTGTCCCATCCTCACTGGGGGCTGATGCCATTTTAGGCCTCAGCCCACCTGCAACCAGGCGTTCATTAAAACAGCATGTTGCTCCACACCGCCTCCTGTTGTCTGTTGGCGCGCTGTTGGGGTTCAAACTGATTCAAGAACCTTACATCTGGTGCCAAATCCTAGGAGGGGCTCAGGTCTGTGTCGCTTGTGGACCTACCCCTCCACCCCAGAGAGCAGGCCACAGCAATTAGACAGAGGAAGCTCCTCAGCCTCCAGTCGCCTCTCTGTGCATGCGCATCAGCCACTGATCTCGCCTACTGGTAAGTTTCCCTTGGAGCCCGGTTAACAGGGCAAAATCTACATGGCCTCTCTTGGTTTCTCCAGTCCAAAAATCCAACACTGATCCAAGAAGGCGCCAGCGTGCGCCAGGCACTCGCTGGTCATCTGGTCTTAGGGGGATGCCTCTAAGCCATTTCATCCCATTCCAGGAACCAAAAAGGCAGCGGAGACGATAACTCCTTTTATCGTCTCCCTCCAGCTGTCCAGGATGGTCTCCTTTTTCCCTGTTCTCTCGAGCTACCCTTCATTATGGGAAACTCCCGGTCCTCAATTCCAAAAAACAGCCCTCCAGCCTGCCTCATTAAAAATCTGCAAACCTTAGGCCTCAGGCAAGATATCTGCCATAAGTGCCTTGTCTTTTTTATACGATAAAGCCTGGTCGCAGTATGAATTAGATAACGGGTCCAAATGGCCCGCAAATGGAACACTCAGCTTTACAGTTTTAACTGACTTAAGCAGTTATTGCAGATGACTGGGAAAATGGGGAGAAATTCCTTGTGTCCAGGCCTTTTTGCACTCAGATCACAGCCCGACCTCTGCAATTCTTGCTTACCTGTTCAAATCCTTCTTCATTCTCGCCGCCCTCATTGCCTTTATCCTCCCGACCCTACCTCTTTTTCCTCATTGGATGGAGCAGACTGCTGTCCACCCCTCCCAGACCCTACCCCTCCATCTCAACCAACTTCATTAACTCCCCAAGCTTCCTCATTGTCTTCTCAGCCACCATCTTCCCAGCCACCATCTTCCCAGCCAGCATCACCCACTTCTTTTCCTATACCATCCTCTCCTCAGGAAAACTCTAGCATTGCCTGTACTCATTCTCCTTCCTTACAGCCCTCTCACGGAGCCTGTAAACCCATCCCGCCACCTTACACCCGTATCTATCCTCCAATGCCTATCAACTCAACCCCCCTTCCCTCTTCAAACCCTCAGCAGGAACCCCTTCTGGCTTCTTCCTTCTCTCCTGCCCATACTAGCTCCGGCACCATCTTTGGCCCCCATGCCCCACCCGTACTTTAGCGCCAGTGCTAGAATGCCCCCTTCGGGAAGTAGCAGGAACTGAAGGTATTGTTAGAGTTCATGTTCCCTTCTCCCTCACTGATCTCTCTCAAACTAACAAAAGACTCAGTTCATTTCCAGAAGATCCTACCTCTTATATTAGGGAGATTCAGTACCTTACTCAGTCTTATGAACTAACCTGGCATGACAGCTACTTATCTTCTCTTCCACCCTCACCCCAGAAGACCAGCACCGTACTTGGACCCTAGCTCAGGTGCATGCTAATACAATTCATCATCAAGCTCCTGCCCAGCCTACTGGCACAGAGGCAGTTCCCAACCAGGACCCCCACTGGGATTATCAAGACAGGGCCTCTGGACACAGCCATCAAGACCTCATGATTATGTGTCTCCTTGCAGGACTCAAAAAGGGTGCCCATAAAGTGGTAAACTATGAAAAACTTTCAGAAATCACCGAAGGTCCTGACAAAAACCCAGCCCTTTTTCTCTCTTGTTTAACTGAAGCCATGAGAAAATTACCAACCTGGACCCAGCCAGCCCAGAAGGAACCACTATTTCAAACCTTCAGTTCCTCACCCAATCTACCATGATATTTGGCGCAAGCTTCAGAAGGTTGATGACGGCCCTCAAACCCCACAGTGGGACCTTCTTAATTTAGCCTTCAAAGTCTTTAACAGTTGTGATGAGGAAAGTAAAAGAAAAAAACAGTTTCCAATGCTTGCCTTTACCCTGCAGGCCCACAGGGCCACAGCTCCATACAGAAGCCTCCTAGCAAAACACCTCCACCTGGCGCCTGTTTCAAGTGTGGCAATGAAGGCTACTGGTCCAGGCCATGCCCAAACCCAGCTGTGCTCACCAGGCTGTGCCCCCTCTGTGGAGGACTCAGTGAAAGTCAGGCTGTGAGCGGCTCCAGCAAGGATCGCCTCCATCCCTTTCCGAGCTGGCCAAAACCTCCTACTCGGATCTCATCGGCCTTGCCACTGAAGACTGACAGTGCCCTGGAACAGATGTCCCAGCAACTACCATTGCTTCATCTGAGCCAAGGGTAACTCTGATGGTGGCAGGTAGGCATGCATGTTTTTTAAAAATTAATATTGGAGCAACCTACTCTGCTTTACCTAAATTTTCAGGACCCACCCAGTCCTCCCAAGTCTCTGTTGTGGGAATCAATGGACAAGTCTCCAAACCCCAAGACCCCCCTCCACTTTTCTGCTCCCTGAACACCTTTTCCTTCAGTCACTCTTTCTTAGTCCTGCCTTCATGCCCAGCTCCGCTCCTAGGCAGAGATATTCTTTCAAAACTCCACACTACTCTCCACTTCCACATTCCCCATAGTACCCAACACATCAACCCAGACCCCTCCAAGGCTTCTAACAGGCTTCTAACCTTCTTCTACTCCTCCGACCTCCCACCCTGAAACATGCAACTTTTCCTTATCCCGCACCTGTAGTTAACCCCACTGTTTGGGATACTTCCACACCCTCGGTCACAGAGCACCACACCCCCATCCACATCACCCTTAAAGAGCCCACCCCGTTCCTATCACAGAAGCAGTATCTCATCCCCCAAGCAGCTCTCATAGGCCTAAAGCCTATCATTTCTCTCCTCCTCACCAGTCACCTACTCTGCCCAACAAACTCTCCTTTTAACACATCAGTTCTACCTGTTAAAAAGCCAGATGGAACTTATCACTTAGTCCAGGACCTCAGGCTCATTAACCAAGCTGTACTCCCAGTGTGTCCAGTAGTTTCTAACCCATATACTTTACTTTCCTCACTTCCCTCGAATACCACCCATTTTTCTGTTCTAAACCTAAATGATGCTTTTTCACAATTCCTTTACACCCTGATTCCCAAAACCTCTTTGCCTTTACCTGGGAAAACCCCGACACCCACCTTTCAGGTCAGCTCACCTGGTGCGTACTACCTCAAGGTTTTAGAGACAGCCCCCACCTTTTTGGACAGGCCCTTGCTAGTAACTTCTGTACTTTATCCCTAAAATCATCCTCTCTTCTTTAATATGTTAATAATCTGCTCCTGTGTAGCCCGTCTCAAAGAGACTGCAACACCCATACATACTATCTCCCTTTTAAACCTCTTGGCAGAACAGGGGTATCAGGTCTCCCCTAAGAAAGCCCAAATATGCACCCCCCAGTCACCTATCTAGGCCTAGCTCTTACCCCTGAATGCAAGGGCTCACAACAGACCACATACTCCCTCCTTCTGTCCCTCCCGCCTCCACAAACTAAGCAAGAAATTCTCTCTTTTCCAGGATTAGCAGGATATTTTAAGCTCTGGGTTTCCTCCTTCGCTCTACTTACCAAACCGTTGTACCAAGCTGCTAAAGGCCCTCTCCATGAGCCTTTAAAACCTGCACAGCCTATTACCCAACCTTTCCATCTACTCCAAAAGTCTCTCATCTCAGCCCCCATCCTCACTCTCCCAGACTTCACCAAACCTTTCTCCCTCTATACCGATGAATGGCGTGGAGTTGCACTAGGTGTTCTAACCCAGTCTAAGGGACCCACCCGGCCAGGTTGTTGCCTACCTCCCTAAACAGCTTGAAGCCACAGTTCTCGGATGGCCTGCCTGCCCCTGAGCATTGGTGGCAGTTGCTGTCCTCACTCTTAAAAGCCTAAAACTATCTCTTCATGCCAACCTAACAGTTTATTCAACCCATAACATCAAAGACATGTTAGCTCACCGCAGTGTACTAAGTCTTTTCTCTGCCCCACGGCTCCTCCAGCTGTATGCTCTATTCATAGAAACTCCCCACATCACCATGCTAACCACCTCCCATCTAAACCCGGCCATGCTCTTACCCGAAGCTACAACCGCCCAAGACTCTTCTTCACACTCTTATGTGTGAATACTGTTCAAACCTTTCTTATACCTTTTCCAAACCTAACAGAAAAATCCCTTCCAGATGCGTCCTTTACTCGGTTTGTAGATGGCAGCTCCTTCCTACATCAAGGACACCGACATGCTGGCTATGCTATAGTGTCACCCCCCAACACTATTGAAGTCAATCTGCTCCTCTTAGGCACCACCTCCCAAAAGGCTGAACTCATTGCCCTCACTCGAGCTCTCATTCTAGCATCCGGAAAACAGATCAATATATTCAAATTCTCCTTATGTGTTCCACGTAGTGCACTCACACTCATCCATCTGGAAAGAACGGGGTTTCCTCACTGCAAACAATACTGTCATAAGTGGCTCTCTCATCAGCAAGCTCCTTCAAGCTGCCAGGCTCCCACAGAAAGTTGCCATCATTCATTGCAGGGGCCACCAAACCCCAGACAATCCTAAATTGGCTGGAAATGTGCTAGCAGATCAGGTAGCCAAACAAGTAGCCCTACTACCCTTTCGAGGCCAGTTGCTGTCCTTGTCCTTGTTCTCTCCTCTTTACTTCTAAGAAGAAAAAGATTTCCAAGCCCAAAACCTTCAAAAGCAAGGACGATATTATGTCAAGGAAGGGTGCTTAGTTATTCCTCACTCTCAAAGCCTTCCTCACCTCCAAAGCCTCCACAACTCTTTCCATGTTGGTTAACAACCTCTTGCAGCTTCTCCACGCTATTCTCACTTGTCGTCACTTTTCCAGCCATGTTCAAGAAATTATCCAGTCCTGCTCTATCTGCCACTCAATGTAACCCCAGGGATCCCTCCAGCCTCTGCCTTTTCATACCCACCAAGCCCAGGGCCAGGTACCTGGGGAAGATTGGCAAGTAGACTTCACTCATATGCTGCATGATAAATGTCTCTGCTATCTTCTAATCCTTGTCTGTACTTTCTCTGGCTAGGGAGAAGTGTTCCCAACAACTTCAAAAGGTGCAAATATCATCACACAAACTCATCATGCATACAGTTCCCTGTTTCAGACTCCCAACATCCATCCAGTCCGATAACAGTCCTGCCTTCATCAGCCACATTACCCGAGGCATCTCTACATCCTTAAGAATAAGTAAGTTCTCCACACACCCTACACACCTCAATCTTCAGGCAAAGTTGAAAAAATTAACTCTGTCCTTAAAGCCTAACTCATCAAGCCGGCTCTAGAAACCTGCGAGTCATGGACAAAAAAATCTCCCTTTTGCCCTCATGAGACTTTGCACAACACCAAAAGCACCCTCTTTTTTTGTTTTTGTTTTTGTTTTTGTTTTGTTTTGTTTTGTTTTTATTATACTTTAAGTTTTAGGGTACATGTGCACAACGTGCAGGTTAGTTACATATGCATACATGTGCCATGTTGGTGTGCTGCACCCATTAACTCGTCATTTAACATTAGGTATATCTCCTAATGCTATTCCTCCCCCCTCCCCCCACCCCATAACAGTCCCCAGTGTGTGATGTTCTCCTTCCTGTGTCCATGTGTTCTCATTGTTCAATTCCCACCTATGAGTGAGAACATGTGGTGTTTGGTTTTTTGTCCTTGTAATACTTTGCTGAGAATGATGGTTTCCAGCTTCATCCATGTCCCTACAAAGGACATGAACTCATCATTTTTTATGGCTGCATAGTATTCCATGGTGTATATGTGCCACATTTTCTTAATCCAGTCTATCATTGTTGGATATTTGGGTTGGTTCCAAGTCTTTGCTATTGTGAATAGTGCAGCAATAAACATACGTGTGCATGTGTCTTTATAGCAGCATGATTTATAGTCCTTTGGGTATATACCCAGTAATGGGATGGCTGGGTCAAGTGGTATTTCTAGTTCTAGATCCCTGAGGAATCGCCACACTGACTTCCACAATGGTTGAACTAGTTTACAGTCCCACCAACAGTGTAAAAGTGTTCCTATTTCTCCACATCCTCCCTGGCACCTGTTGTTTCCTGACTTTTAATGATTGCCATTCTAACTGGTGTGAGATGGTATCTCATTGTGGTTTTGATTTGCAATTCTCTGATGGCCAGTGATGATGAGCATTTTTTCATGTGTCTGTTGGCTGCATAAATGTCTTCTTTTGAGAAGTGTCTGTTCATATCCTTTGCCCAGTTTTTGATGCGGTTGTTTGTTTTTTTCTTGTAAATTTGTTTGAGTTCATTGTAGATTCTGGATATTAGCCCTTTGTCAGATGAGTAGATTGCAAAAATGTTCTCCCATTCTGTAGGTTGCCTGTTCACTCTGATGGTAGTTTCTGTTGCTGTTCAGAAGCTCTTTAGTTTAATAAGATCCCATTTGCCAATTTTGGCTTTTGTTGCCGTTGCTTTTGGTGTTTTAGACGTGAAGTCCTTGCCCATGCCTAATGTCCTCAAAGTATTGCCTAGGTTTTCTTCTAGGGTTTCTATGGTTTTAGGTCAAACATGTAAGTCTTTAATCCATCTTGAATTAATTTTTGTATAAGGTGTAAGGAAGGGATCCATTTTCAGCTTTCTACATATGGCTAGCCAGTTTTCCCAGCACCATTTATTAATTAGGGAATCGTTTCCCCATTTGTGGTTTTTGTTAAGTATGTCAAAGTTCAGATGGTTGTAGATATGTGGCATTATTTCTGAGGGCTCTGTTCTGTTCCCTTGGTCTATATCTCTGTTTTGGTACCAGTACCATGCTGTTTTGGTTACTGTAGCCTTGTAGTATAGTTTGAAGTCAAGTAGTGTGATGCCTCCAGCTTTGTTCTTTTGGCTTAGGATTGACTTGGCAATGTGGGCTCTTTTTTGGTTCTATATGAACTTTAAAGTAGTTTTTTCCAATTCTGTGAAGAAAGTCATTGGTAGCTTGATGGGGATGGCATTGAATCTATAAATTACCTTGGGCAGTATGGCCATTTTCATGATATTGATTCTTCCTTCCCATGTGCATGGAATGTTCTTCTATTTGTTTGTATCCTCTTTTATTTCATTGAGCAGTGGTTTGTTGTTCTCCTTGAAAAGGTCCTTCACATCCCTTGTAATTTGGATTCCTAGATATTTTATTCTCTTTGAAGCAATTGTGAATGGGAGTTCATTCATGATTTGGCTCTATTTTTGTCTGTTATTGGTGTATAAGAATGCTTGTGATTTTTACACATTGATTTTGTATCCTCAGACTTTGGTGAAGTTGCCTATCAGCTTAAGGAGATTTTGGGCTGAGATGATGGGGTTTTCTAGATATACAATCATGTCATCTGCAAACAGGGACAATTTGACTTCCTCTTTTCCTAATTGAATACCCTTTATTTCCTTCTCCTGCCTGATTGCCCTGGCCAGAACTTCCAACACTATGTTGAATAGGAGTGGTGAGAGAGGGCATCCCTTTCTTGTGCCAATTTTCAAAGGGAATTCTTCCAGTTTTTGCCCATTCAGTATGATATTGGCTCTGGGTTGCTCATAGATAGCTCTTAGTATTTTGAGATACATCCCATCAATACCTAATTCATTGAGAGTTTTTAGCAAGAAGCGTCGTTGAATTTTGTCAAAGGCCTTTTCTGCATCTATTGAGATAATCATGTGGTTTTTGTCGTTGGTTCTGTTTACATGCTGGATTAAGTTTATTGATTTGCATATGTAGAACCAGCTTTGCATCCCAGGGATGAAGCCCACTTGATCATGGTGGATAAGCTTTTTGATGTGCTGCTGGATTCAGTTTGCCAGTATTTTACTGAGGATTTTTCCATTGATGTTCATCAGGGATATTGGTCTAAATTCTCTTTTTTTTTGCTGTATCTCTGCGAGGCTTCAGTATTGGGATGATGCTGGCCTCATAAAATGAGCTAGGGAGGATTTCCTCTTTTTCTATTGATTGGAATAGTTTCAGAAAGAACGGTACCAGCTCCTCCTTGTGCCTCTGGTAGAATTCGGCTGTGAATCCATCTGGTCCTGGACTTTTTTTGGTTGGTAAGCTATTAATTATTGCCTCAATTTCAGAGCCTGTTATCAGTCTATTCAGAGATTCAACTTCTTCCTGGTTTAGTCTTGTGAGGGTGTATGTGTTGAGGAATTTATCCATTTCTTCCAGATTTTCTAGTTTATTTGCATAGAGGTGTTTACAGTATTATGTGATGGTAGTTTGTATTTCTCTGGGATTGGTGGTGATATCCCCTTAATCATTTTTTATTGCATCTATTTGATTCTTCTCTCTTTTCTTCTTTATTAGTCTTGCTAACGATGTATTAATTTTGTTGATCCTTTCAAAAAACCAGTTCCTGGATTTATTGATTTTTTGAAAGGTTTTTGTGTCTCTATTTCCTTCAGTTCTACTCTGATCTTAGTTATTTCTTGCTGTCTGCTAGCTTTTGAATGTGTTTGCTCTTGCTTCTCTAGCTCTTTTAATTGTAATGTTAGGGTGTCAATTTTAGATCTTTCCTGCTTCCTCTTGTGGGGATGTAGTGCTATAAATTTCCCTCGACACACTGCTTTGAATGTGTCCCAGAGATTCTGGTATGTTGTGTCTTTGTTCTCGTTGGTTTCAAAGAACATCTTTATTTCTGCCTTCATTTCGTTATGTACCCAGTAGTCATTCAGGAGCAGGTTGTTCAGTTTACATGTAGTTGAGTGGTTTTGAGTGAGTTTCTTAATCCTGAGTTCTAGTTTGATTGCACTGTGGTCTGAGAGACAGTTTGTTATAATTTCTGTTCTTTTACATTTGCTGAGGAGAGCTTTACTTCCAACTATGTAGTCAATTTTGGAATAGGTGTGGTGTGGCGCTGAAAAGAATGTATATTCTGTTGATTTGGGGTGGAGAGTTCTGTAAATGTCTATCAGGTCACCTTGGTGCAGAGCTGAGTTCAGTTCCTGGATATCCTTGTTAACTTTCTGCCTTATTGATCTGTCTAATGTTGACAGTCAGGTGTTAAAGTCTCCTATTATTATTGTGTGGGAGTCTAAGTCTCTTTGTAGGTCTCTAAGGACTTGCTTTATGAATCTGGGTGCCCTTGTATTGGGTGCATATATATTTAGGATAGTTAGCTCTTCTTGTTGAATTGATCCCTTTACCATTATGTAATGGCCTTCTTTGTCTCTTTTGATCTTTGTTGTTTTAAAGTCTGTTTTATCAGACACTAGGATTCCAACCCCTGCCTTTTTTTGTTTTCCATTTGCTCGGTAGATCTTCCTCCATCCCTTTATTTTGAGCCTATGTGTGTCTCTGCACGTCAGATGGGTTTCCTGAAAACAGCACACTGATGGGTCTTGACTCTTTATCCAATTTGCCAGTCTGTGGAGTATTTAGCCCATTTACATTTATTTTTAAATGTATTGGAGTATTTAGCCCATTTACATTTAAGGTTAATATTGTTATGTGTGAATTTGATCCTGTCATTATGATGTTAGCTGGTTATTTTGCTCATTAGTTGATGCAGTTTCTTCCTAGCCATGACGGTCTTTACAATTTGGCATCTTTTGCAGTGGCTGCTACTAGTTGTTCCTTTCCATGTTTAGTGCTTCCTTCAGGAGCTCTTTTAGGGCAGGCCTGGTGGTGACAAAATCTCTCAGTATTTGCTTGTCTGTAAAGGATTTTATTTCTCCTTCACTTATGAAGCTTAGTTTGGCGGGATATGAAATTCTGGATTGAAAATTCTTTTCTTTAAGAATGTTGAATACTGGCCCCCACTCTCTTCTGGCTTGTAGAGTTTCTGTGGAGAGATCTGCTGTTAGTCTGATGGGCTTCCCTTTGTGGGTAACCCGACCTTTCTCTCTGGCTGCCCTTAACATTTTTTCCTTCATTTCAACTTTGGTGAATCTGACAATTATGTGTCTTGGAGTTGCTCTTTTCGATGAGTATCTTTGTGTTGTTCTCTGTATTTCCCGAATTTGAATATTGGCCTGCATTGCTAGATTGGGGAAGTTCTCCTGGATAATATCCTGCAGAGTGTTTTCCAAGTTACTTCCATTCTCCCCGTCACTTTCAGGTTCACCAATCAGATGTAGATTTGGTCTTTTCACAGAGTCCCATATTTCTTGGAGGCTTTGTTCATTTCTTTTTATTATTTTTTCTCTAAACTTCTCTTCTCATTTCATTTCATTCATTTGATCTTCCATCACTGATACCCTTTCTTCCAGTTGATTGAATTGGCTACTGATGCTTGTGTATTCATCAAGTAGTCTCATCCTGTGGTTTTCAGCTCCATCAAGTCCTTTAAGGACTTCTCTGCACTGGTTGCTCTAGTTAGCCATTTGTCTAATTTTTTTTCAAGGTTTTTAACTTCTTTGCCATGGGTTTGAATTTCCTCCTTTAGCTTGGAGTAGTTTGATCATCTGAAGCCTTCTTCTCTCAACTCATCAAAGTCATTCTCCATCCAGCTTTGTTCCATTTCTGGTGAGGAGCTGCATTCCTTTGGAGGAGGAGAGGTGCTCTGATTTTTAGAATTTCCAGTTTTTCTACTCTTTTTTTTTCCCTATCTTTGTGGTTTTATCTACCTTTGGTCTTTGATGATGGTGATGTACAGATGGGGTTTTGGTGTGGATGTCCTTTCTGTTTGTTGGTTTTCCTTCTAACAGTTAGGACCCTCAGCTGCAGGTATGTTGGAGTTTGCTGGAGGTCCGCTCCAGACCCTGTTTGCCTTGGTATCAGCAGTGGATGCTGCAGAACAGCGGATATTGGTGAACAGCAAATGTTGCTGTCTGATTGTTCCTCTGGAAGTTTTGTCTCAGAGGAGTACCCGGCCATGTGAGGTGTCAGTCTGCCCCTACAGGAGAGTGCCTCCCATTTAGGCTACTCAGTTGTCAGAGACCCACTGGAGGAGGCAGTCTGTCCTTTCTCAGATCTGCAGCTGCATGCTGGGAGAACCAATACTCTCTTCAAGGCCATCAGACAGGGACACTTAAGTTTGCAGAGGTTTCTGCTTCCTTTTATTTGGCTATGCTTTGTTCCCAGAGGTGGAGTCTACAGAAGCAAGCAGGCATCCTTGAGCTGCAGTTGGCTCCACCCAGTTCGAGCTTCCCAGCTGCTTTGTTTACCTACTCAAGCCTCAGCAATGTCGGGCACCCCTCCCCCAGCCTCGCTGCCACCTTGCAGTTTGATCTCAGACTGCTGTGCTAGGTATGAGTGGGGCTCTGTGGGCATAGGACCCTCTGAGCCAGGCATGGGATATAATCTCCTGGTGTGCCGTTCACTAAGACTGTTGGAAAAGCGCAGTATTATATAAAGAGTGACCTGATTTTCCAGGTGCCATCTGTCACCGCTTTCTTTGATTAGAAAAGGGAATTCCCTGACCCCTTGCACTTCCTGGGTGAGGCAATGCCTCACCCTGCTTTGGCTCATGCTCGGTGCACTGTACCCACTGTCCTGCACCCACTGTCTGACACTCCCCAGTGAGATGAACCTGGTACCTCAGTTGGAAATGCAGAAATCACCCATCTTCTGTATCACTCATGCTGAGAGCTGTAGACTGGAGCTGTTCCTATTTGGCCTAGCTAATTATTAATATTTCTTTTCTTATAGTAATTTTGGTTTTGGTTTGTTCTTGCTTTTCTAGTCATTTGAGATAGATCATTACATTTTTTATATGAAACCTTTCTCCTTTTCTTGTGTAGGCATTTCTTGTTCTAAACTTGTCTCTTAATAGTGCTTCTGTTGAATCTCACAGATTTTGCTATTGCATGATGTGATCTTTCTTTGTTTTAAGCAATTTCAAAATTGTTTCTTTTTTATCTATTGGTTATAAGGAATATGTTGTTAAATTTTCATGGATTTTTCTAGTTTTGTCTTGGCATTGATTTTATAATTTATTTCATTGTGTTCAGATAAAATAATCAGTAAAATTTTTATTTTTTAAAATTTGTTGAGACTTGCTTAATGTCCTCATATATGGTTAATTCTGGGGATGTTATATGTGCTATAAAAAGAATCTTACATTCTGCAGCTGTTGGTTAAAATGTTCTGTAAATATCAACTACTTCAATTTGGTCTATGGTACAGTTTAAATCTCATGTTGATTTATTGTCTAAATATCTGTCCAATGCTGAAAAGGTGATGGTGACATCCTCAACTATTATTGGACTTAGGTCTATCTCTCCTTTCAGGTATAATAATATTTGCTTCATATATCTCAGCGGTTCATGGTTGGTTGCATATATATTTACATTTTTGTCTTTTTGAACAATTGATTCATTTATTATCATATTAAGTCTCTCTTTTCCTCTCAAAATTTTGGCTTAAAGTTTGTGTTTTGCTGAGGTAAGTGTAGCTATTTCTGCTTGATTTGGGTTTCTGTTTGCATAGCATATCTATTTCATCTTTTCAATTGCAGTCTATGTGTAACTTTATTGGTGAGATGAGTATCTTTTAGGCTGAATATTGTTGAGTCTTGTTTTTTAATCCATCAATCTACGTTTTCAGTTGTGTAATTTAATCCACTTATTTTCAAGGTATTTATTTATTTATAGGTAAAGGCTTATTCTTTTATTTTTTTCTGTTTATTTTGTATCTCCCTTATTCCTTAATTTCTCTCTTATTACTTATTTTGACAGTTTGATAGTTTTCTATACTGATAAAGTTTGATTATTTTTTCTTTCACCTTTGTCTGTTGGCTCTATGAGTGAGTTATATAATTTTGTGTGTTTTTATGAAGTGTATTATCATCTTTTCACCTTCAGATGTTAGACTTCCTCAAATATTCCTTTTAAGGCTGGTTTAATGGTAATAAATTCTTTATGTTTTTGCTTGTTTGAGAAATACTTTATTCCTCTGTCTCTGTTTTTTTTGTAGGATCAAAGTTTGCTTTATATAATATTCTTCATTGACATGATTATAAAACAAATTTTATCACTTAGCATATATTTTCCTATTCTTTCCTGGCCTATAAGTTAATGCTGAGAAATCCACTATTAGCTGAATGAAGATTCCCTTATAGATGATGTGTCAGCTTTCTTCTGCCATTTTTAGAACACCTGCTTTGCATTTGACTTGATAATTTGACGATATGTGCATCAGTGAAGACCTTTTTGGATTGAAGTAACTTGGTGGAACTTTCAGCTTCTTGGATCTAGATGTTCATCTTTTGTCAATAACTTAAGAAGCTTTCTGCTATTATTTCATTGAATATAATTTCTATGCTGTTTATCTTCTCATTCTAGAATTTTCATCATGTTAATTTTTTTTCTTTTTTACTTAGTGATGTTGCATAAATTCTGTAGGATTACTTTATTCTTTTTCTTCTTTCTTGTCTATGTGAGTCATTTCAAAAACATGGTAATAGTTGGAAATTATTTCCTCTGCTTTGTCTCTTATGTTCTTGAAGCTCTCAATAGTATATTTTTAAAAAAATTTGTTCATTGCTTTAAAGTATTTTATATTTTTGTGGGTACATAGTTGGTGGATATGCTTACGGGGTACATGAGATATTTTGATCCAAGCATGTTCTAGTGAAAAATTTTTACAATGAACAATTCAATAAAGTTGCAGAACATGAAATTAACAAGACAAAATCAATAACATTTCTATTTGCCTACAATGAGCAGCTGAAAAAGAAATCAAAAAAGTATTCCCATTTACAATAGTCACAAATAAAATTGAACATCTAGGAATTAAAGGACTGAAAGATCTCTATAATGAAAACTACTGATGTAAGAAATTAACACTGATGTAAGAAAACACTGATGTAAGAAATTAGAGGGTACCAAGAAATGAAAAAATATTCCATGTTCATTGATTAGATGAATAAATATTGTTAACATTTCTATATTAAGCAAAACAATCTACTGATGCAATAAAATCATGAAAATACCAATTACATTCTTCACAGAAATAGAAAAAAATCTCAAAATGTATATGAAACCAGAAAAGACCCAGAATAGTCAAAGGTATCCTAAGCAAAAGAAACCAACTTGGAGTCACATTATCTGACTTCATATTACACTACGCACCTATAGTAACCAAACCAGCATGTTACTGCCATAAAAACAGACACAGAGATCAATGAAACAGAATAGAGAACCCAGAAAACAATCTACACACCTGCAGTGAACTCATTTTCATCAAAGTTGCCATTAACATACACAGAAAAAAAGACAGTCTCTTTAATAAATGGTGCTGGGAAAACAGAATATCTATATGCAGAAGAATGAAACTAGATCCCTAGCTCTATCCATATACAAAAATCAAATAAAAATGGTTTAAAGGCTTATATCTCAGACCTCAAATTATGAACTACTACAAGAAAACATTAAAGAAAATCTCCAGGATGTTTTTCTGGGCCAAAATTTCTTGGGTTATACCCCATAATCACAGGCAAAGTAAAAATGAACAAATGAGATCACATCAAGTTAATCAGCTTCTATACAGCAAAGGAAACAATCAACAAGTGAAGAGACAGTCCACAGAATGGGAAAAATATTTACAAACTATCCATCTGACAAGGAATTAATAACCAGAATATATAAGGGGCTCAAACCCTCTATAGGAAAAGATAAAAAAATGGACAAAGAATTTGAATAGAGATGTTTCTCAAAAGTAAACAGAAAAGTGGCAAACAGACATGTGAAAAGATGCTCAATATCACTGATCATCAGAGAAAGTCAAATCACAACTACAATGAGACATCTTCTCACACCATTTAAAGTAGCTTATACCCAAAAGACAGACAAAAATAAATGCTGATGGGGATGTGAAGAAAAAGGAACCCTATACAATTTTGGTGGGAGTGAAAATTAGTAAAGACCACTATGGAGAACAGTTGACGGTTCCTCAAAAAAATGAAAAATAGAGCTACCATATGATCCAGCAATCTCATTGCTAGATATATACCCAAAAGAAATAAATCAGTATGTCAAAGAGATACCCGCACTCCCATGTTTGTTGCACTATTTACAATAGCTAAGATTTAGAATTAGCGTGAATGTCCATCAACAAATGAATGAAGAACATGTGTTGCATAGACACAGTGGAGTACCATTCAGCCATGAAAAAGAATGAGATCCATTCATTTTCAACAACATGGATGGAACTGGAGCTCATTGTGCTAAGTGAAATAAGCCAGGCACAGAAAGACAAACATGGTATGTTATCACTTATTTGTGGGATCTAAAACTTAATTAAACTAATGAACATAGAAAGTAGAAGGCTGATTACTTGAGCCTGGGAAGGGTACTGGGGGCATGGGGGTAAGCAGGGATTTTAACAGGTATGTAAAAAGGAATAAGACATACTATTTGATCACACAACAGGGTGACTATAGTCAATAATAACTTCACTGTACATTTTTAAATAACTAAAATAGTGTAATTATATTGTGCATAAGACAAAGTAAAAATGCTTGAGGGGATAGATACTCCATTCTCCATAATATGCTTATTTCCAATTGCATCCCTGTATCAAAGTATCTCATGTACCCCACAAATATATACATTTACTAGGTAACCACAAAAATTTTTAAAAATTGAAAATTTAAAAATTTGAAAGATATACTTAATGGAAAAACAAGCAATTTGTAATACAATTATTTTATGTAATAAACAATTAGGGGACAGGTTTCAAAACTATTGACTTGGATTTAGTAACAACAGTAAGTATTAGCAATTATCATGATTGTACTATTAGTCATTCTTTCACTTGTCCTACTTCTCTACCAACTCTTCCGTTTCCTGGTGGCACTATTAATTTCCCTTAATGTACATGGGAAAATTATTAAAATATAAAGTTAGATTGCTTTGAATTTTTATTAGTATTTCATCAACTTTTATCTCACGAGAAAGTTACCATGTAGACCTTATATAATTTGCATTCAACATGGATATTATGTTTTAGCCATTGAATAAGATTTTAGTTGTATGTTGATGCTAATAAGAAGGTAAACAGAAATGATCCCCTAAGAGACTGTATAATAATGTTGCAAAGAATAATTGCTATCTATATATATCTTAAAAGTGTGATATTAATTTAAAACACATGAGATTCTTGTGTTCTCTCATAAGGAATATTCTATAGAATAAATAATTGTTATTATGAACTAAGGGCACTTTTCAGATACAAGTGGTAGAAATTATTTGGTTTTTATTAGGCAAGCACTTTTCATTTTTTTCTTGGATTCTCTGAGATGCAGGTATGACGTTGAGACATAAGTTGCCCCAGGGAGCTTTCCTGAGTTGTCCTGCAGGCTTGGCATAAGGTGGAAAAACACCTGTTCTTATAGGGTAAAATGACCTTTTTTTGCTGTAACATGTAGACCTCTGGAATCTCAGGGATGAATGGTTTAAATGCTGGAGTGAAAGCAAGTAAACACTGGGTTTTGTTGCAAATATTTTGGGGGCACAATTTCTTTTTATGTTGAAGAATGGTGTACATTTTAAGCTAGAATACTGGTGAAGAGCCCCAATCCTTACAATACATCATTAGCATTTCACCTTGCTCATCTGTTTGCAAAAACTTCTGCTTCTGCTTTTAAACAAGTCCACAGGATATCTGTCATCTATAACATTGCTGGAGAATGTAATGTTGATGTGCTAGATGATAATCAGTATCTATTAAATGAGGAATGATATCTCAGGTGACTGGCATATGATAGGTAATTAATGTTATTGGAAATAACAAAAATAACCAAAATTGCAATATTAATATTTCTGGATCACTGACTTAGTGCCAGACACATTTTAAGTGTTTTACCTGCTTTAACTTTTTTCCACAATACAATATAAAGCTGGCAAAAGTACACATAAATATCTCTATCAACATTCTGGTATATTTTTCTATCATTTGCTGCCTGATTTTATTAAAAAAATTCTAAATTGTGTATTCTTTTTATTCTGACCCTCTGCAGTCTAATTCATTGAATATCTTGGAAACTTTTTAAAGGAAGGAAATATAATCAGATCTCTCCATTTGTTAACTCTTTTTAGTAGCTTCCCAATGCCATAATAAATATTTCAAGATCCTAATAATTATTTGGCTCCAACTTGCCTCTTCAGAATCATCTGTTTCTTAGTATTCTTCTGCAAACTAAACTTGAAGACTTGAGAACTGTCTTTACTACTTTGCCTGCTTTTCCTTTTGTGTCTTCCTCTCCCCCTCATTCATCACCTATTTCTTCACACCTTTCAGTTCTCATCTTGATTATCCATGTCTCCAGTATACTTTCTGTTATCCCAACTGGATATATCCTTGTTATTGTGGTACTGAAGATAATGCTTTTCACACATTTTATTACTTGCTTATATTTTATCTTTCAACATAGAGTTTAAGGAATGTGGGGACAGAAACTATGTCTACTTTTCTTGTCTTCTTAAAATCCAAAGCAGTGGTTTGTGTGAAGCACTTTATAAGTATTCTTTGGTTGAATAACTAATACTTTCTTATATGTTGCAAAATGAAGGCTTTAATTTGAACATTACTAGGTTCAGATAGTCTCTAGTAGTACTCTTTTTTCTGTAGTAATAATGAAATTCATATAATTGTGATGATATAGAAATAGGAATCTTTAATTGGCATCTGGTTTACCCCACCCACTAAACATCTTTCTTTCACTTCAAGCAAAAACACTGAAAGAAGAATATAGTATCATTCCCACCAAAAATTTAAGACAAACAAAACAAAACAAAACAAAACAAACAGGTTTTTTTTTTTTTTTTTTTACCTTTGGCAGGGATTTTGCAGGTTTGCCGTGAAGTTTTCCAACAAAGTGAACATTTTGTAAGTGTGGGTGAGGAAATTAAAAATTCCTGTAGTTTTGAAGAAGCTTTGTTTCACTTTTCTCCATTATCTCAGATAATGTAGTATTTTTTCATAATGGGAAAAAGGAAAACAAAGGCATATGACACAAGATAATTGTTATGAGAATACAACTGATAATTATCTGAAAGGAGTTAGAATAATGTAGCCAAAGATATATAAATTGTCTATGCTTAGATAAAACAATATACATGTATTTATACCTGGGGATAATTTAGTTTTTGTGCATTATCTATTTTGCTCATATGTATTTACAAGAAAGACCAAGTGCTAAGAGAATTGTGGGAGAAAACTTATTCTTCTATCACATCAGTGTATTCGCCATCGTAAACCATAATTAAAATAAACCTTAGAGAATAAAACATGCATTTGTTTACTCTATAAAGCAGCAATAGTAATAGATATACACTTAAAACAAGTCTTTGAGGTCCATGATCAATGGATTCTACTCTACTCATAAAAAACAATTTTCTAAGAAGTACTCAATTTTTTTCAAAAATTAAGCTAGTCCCTTGATCTTTTGTTCTTCAAGTGAACTGTTGAGTATTTTGTGAGTATGGCTGAAATCCTTGTACCTACTACTGCTTTGGGTTCATGCTAAGGTCTTAATAATGTTAGATTTTAAGTAAACATATTGTCAAATAGCAGCTGAAATTTTTTCAG
This sequence comes from Homo sapiens, assembly GCF_000001405.40. Classification (NCBI taxonomy): domain Eukaryota; kingdom Metazoa; phylum Chordata; class Mammalia; order Primates; family Hominidae; genus Homo; species Homo sapiens. Next base: position 266,932 of record NT_167250.2, read on the forward strand.
AAATTATTGAAATAGAGACTTTTGCCTAACATGGATTTCACTCATATTGTTCTTAGTGAAGAGACATAGTTAAAAAAAAAACTATACAGAAGTAACTTGATGTTCACATTTCAACAGATGTTTGACTTTAAGACAAATGATTTTCAATCCTTTAATGAAGGAGTATAAAGATACTAGAAACTTCAAATTACCTGCATTGATTTTTGAGTCTTTGATAGAGAAATTGTATCGTTCAATTGTGAAGGAAACATTATGGTACTGTGGGAAAATATTTTAATTTCTAAATAAGGGACCTGAGATACACAATTCAAAACAATCCCCTCAATGCTAACTAGATAGTTGTGCTAGAAAAATGCATAACTCCTCAATCTACATGTCTGCATTCAGCAGGATGTTTCTTGATGTGTCTAATGACTTTTCTTAAATGAAAAATATGTCAAGTAAAATGGATGTGTGATTGCTGAAAGAAATCCTAATGACATTAATTTATAGGTTTATGAGTTCCTGGAGTGTGCTGTATTAGTGATGACCACAGGGTTCTAACAGATGCTATAATGTAAGTCTTTCCATAATATTTGTGAGATTGATAGATTATTTTATATTTTCATTTCCTCATTTCTTTTATTGAAAAACAGTACTTCTCTGACTTTATACGTACTTACCTTCTGTTTTAGTTAATTTTCACACTGTTGACAAAGACATACTCAAGATGGGATAAAAAGAAGTTTGAAGGACTCACAGTTCCACGTGGCTGGGAAGGCATCACAATCATGGTGGAATGCAAAGAGCAAGCCACGTCTTACATGGATGGCAGCAGGCAAAGAGAGAGAACTTGTGCAGGGAAACTACCCCTTATAAAACCATCAGCTATTGTCAGACTTATTCACTATCATGAGAACAGCACAGGAAAGACCTGCCTCCATGATTCAATTACCTCTTACTAGGACCCTCTCACAGCACATGGGAATACAAGATGAGATGTGGGTGGGGACACAGTCAAGCCATGTCATTCTGCCCCTGGCCCCTCCCAAATCTCATGTCCCCACATTTCAAAACCAATCATGCCTTACAGACAGTCCTCCAAAGTCTTAACTAATTTCAGTATTAACTCAGAGGTCCACAGCCCAAAGTCTCATCTGAGATGAGACAAGTGTCTTCTGCCTATGAACCTGTAGAATCAAAAGCAAGTTAGTTAATTCCCAGATACAATGAGGGTACCAGCATTGGATAAATACAGATATTTCAAATGGGAGAAATTGGCTAAAATGAAGGGGCTACAGGCCCCATGCATGCCAGAAATCCAACAGGGCAGTCATTAAGCCTTAAAATTACAAAATGATCTTTTTTGACTTCATGTCTCACATCCAGGTCACACTGATGCAAGAGGTGGGTTTCCATGGCCTTGGGCAGCTCCACACCTGTGGCTTTGCAGGGTGCAGCCTCCCCCCCAGCTGCTTTAAAGGGCTGGCATTGAGTGTCTTTAGCTTTTCCAGGTGCATGGTGCAAGTTGTTGGTGGATCTACCACTCAGGTGTCTGGAGGATGGTGGCCCTTTTCTCACAGCTCCTTTAGGCAGTGTCTGAGAAGCAACTCAGTGGGAGTTCCAACTCCACATTTTCCTTCTTGAAGTCCCTAGGCTACACAGAATACTGGGACGATTTTTTTCTTTCTAGCCCACCAGGCCTGTGATGGAAGGGGCTGCCGTGAAGGCCTGACATGCTCTGAAGACATTTCCCCCATTGTCTTGGTGATTAACATTTGGCTCCTCATTACTTATGCAAATTTCTGCAGCCAGCTTGAATTTTTCCTCAGAAGAAGTTAACTCTTATGGTTTAATGTAAACACAGTATATTAAAAGTCTAAGTATGTGCATGGCAAAGAGACAAACAACTTGCTCTTTACTTGAGTCTTTAATGTCCCTTTTATGTTTGTAAATGCTATTATCCAGGTAGTATCAATAATTTTGCGTGGATGAGTCACTTATTTTATGTAATATATTTTACAATAGTGTCAAGAACATTCACAGTGAGAAGTTCCTTTAGTTCTGCAATCACTTTGAGATGGAATTAAAGATGAAAATAATTATATGAGTATATCAGCATTTCTTGGATATTGTGCTTCAAGGAATTTTTTGGTAAAAGTTGACATATAATTGCTATGCTATACAATTTACTGATTATTTTGTAAAATCCATTATTTGTGGTATATTCACAGAATTGTACATCCATGACAACAATCAGTTTCAGAGCATTTTTATTTGTATCACAAAATAAACCCTGTACTCTTTAGTATTTTTTCCTCACCCTGAGTTTCTGCATTTCTCCTGCCCTGCTCAATTGCTAATTAAATTTGTATCTATAGATTTGCCTATTCTGGAAATTTTAAAATAAATATAATCGTACAATATATAGTTTCTTGTGACTGGCTTCCTTCATTTAGCATAACATTTTAAAGGTTCATTTATGATGTAGCATATGTAAGGACTTCATTCCTTTTTAATGGCAAAATAAACATTTTATATATGAGCATACACATTTTATCGATTTATTTATCAGTTGATGGACATTAATTTTTCCCTATTTTTGGCTAGTATGAATAATGATGCTTATGAACAAGCTTAGTGTAACTGTGTTTTCATTTCTGTCAGATACATATTCTTAGAAGTAGAATTGCTGTGTTGTGTTTCCTTGCATGTTTAGCTATAAAAGGTTAAACTGTACGTGTAAACTTTTGAGAAATTGCTAGACTGTTTTCCAATGTGGTTGCACCATTTTCCATTCCCATCAGCAATGTGTAAGTGTTACAATGTCTCCACATCGTTTTCAACAAATGATTATGTGTCTTTTTATTACAGCTAGGCTGGTGGGTTGAAGTAGTGTCTTGTGGGGAAAAGAAAGAGAGATCAGACTGTTACTGTGTCTATGTAGAAAGAAGTAGACATAAGAGACTCCATTTTGTTCTGTACTAAGAAAAAATCTTCTGCCTTGAGATGCAGTTAATCGATAACACTAGCCCCAACCCTGTGCTGGCAGAGACATGTGCTGTGTTGACTCAAGGTTTAATGGATTTAGGGCTATGCAGTATGTGCTTTGTTAAACAAGTGCTTGAAGGCAATATGTTTGTTAGAAGTCATCACCACTCTCTTATCTCAAGTACCCAGGCACACAATACACTGCGGAAGGCCACAGGGACCTCTGCTTAGGAAAGCCAGGTATTGTAAAAGGTTTCTCCCCATGCGATAGCCTGAGATATGGCCTCGTGGGAAGGGAAAGACCTGACCATCCCCCAGCCCAACACCCGTAAAGGGTCTGTGCTGAGGAGGATTAGTAAAAGAGGAAGGCCTCTTTGCAGTTGAGATAAGAGGAAGTCATCTGTCTCCTGCTAATCCCTGGGCAATGGAATGTCTCATTGTAAAACCCGATTGCATGTTCCATTTACTAAGATAGGAGAAAACCACCTTAGGGCTGGAGGTAAGACATGCTGGTGACAATACTGCTCTTTAATGCACCGAGATGTTTATGTATGTGCACATCAAAGCACAGCACCTTTTCTTAACCTTGTTTATGACACAGAGACATTTGTTCACATGTTTTCCTGCTGACCCTCTCCCCACTATAACCCTATTGTCCTGCCACATCCCCCTCTCGAGATAGTAGAGATAATGATCAAAAAATACTGAGGGAACTCAGAGACCAGTGCCAGTGTGGGTCCTCTGTATGCTAAGTGCCGGTCCGCAGGGCCCACTTTTCTTTCTCTATACTTTGTCTCTCTGTCTCTTTCTTTTCTCAGTCTCTTGGCCCACCTGACAAGAAACACCCACAGGTGTGGAGGGGCTGGCCCCCTTCAGTATCTCATTGTTGATTATATTTCCTTGGTGTCTAATGATGTTGAACATTTTGACTTTGCTTATAAGCCACTGTATTTTTTTTCTTTTTTGGAGAAATTTCTATTCACATCCATTGCCCATTTTTAATTAATTTCTTTTTCTTATTAAGTTGTAAGTCGTATTTCTGATACAAGTACTTCATTAGTTATATCATTTGAAAATAGATTCTAAGATTATGTGGGCTTTTGTTTTCTTGATGCTGTCCTTTGAAGCACAAAAGTACTAAATTTGATAAAGACCTATTTATATATTTTTCATATTTGATTGCTTATGCTTTTGATGTCATATGTAAGAAACCACTGCCAAATTCAAAGCCATGAAGATTATCTTCTGTGTGTTCTTTTTGGAATTTTATGATTCTACCTCTTAAATTTAAGCCTTTGACCTACTTTTAGTAGTTTTGTAAATGGCTTGAGACCAGAAGTCAAACTTTATTCTTTTGTTTGTGGGCAATCCGTTATTCAATAAGCATTTGTTCAAGACTGTTCAATTTTTTCATTGAATTGTTTTGGCATCTTTGTAAAAAACCATAAATATGTGGGTATGTTTCTGGGTTCTAAAATCTATTTTGTTTGTATATATGTCTATTTGTATGCCTATACCAGGCTCATTTGATTATTATAGATTTGTAGTTGGCTTTGAAAGAAGAAAGTGTAAATCTTCCAACTTTGTTATTATTATTATTATTATTTTCAGACAGGATCTTACTCTGTTTCCCAGGCTGAAGTAGAGTGGTGTGATCATGGCTCACTGCAGCCTTGAACTCCCAGGCTCAAGCAATCCTATCACCTTAGCCTACTGAGTTGCTAGGACCACAGGCATGTGTCACCTCTCCTGGCTAATATATTATTATTAGTATTATAAAGACAAGAGTCTCCTTATGTTGCCCAGGCTGGTCTTAAACTCCTTTGCTCAAGTGATCTACCTGCCTTGGCATCACAAAGTACAACTTTGTTCTTTATTTTAAGACTTTTTTGGCTATCTTTAGGTTTCTTGAATATCTTTGTGAATTTCAGAATTAGTTTGTCAATTTACTGGAAGAAGCCAGTTGGGATTTTGATAGGGATTGCATTAAATCTGTATATCTATTTGGGGAGTGGAGTATGGACACTACAACAATACTGTGTTTTAATCTGTGAAGATGAGATGTCTTTCCATTTATTTACATCTTTTAAATTTCTTTCCTCTATGCTTTACAGTATCCATAATGCAAGTTTTACACTTATTTTGTTAAAATTGATTCCTAATAGTTATATTCTTTTGGATGTTATTTGAAGTGCAATTGTTTTCTTAATTTCATTTTGGATATTTCATTGCAATTATGTAAAGTAATTTTTTTGTTTATTGATCTTTTATCCTGAAAATTTGCTTTGTTTATTGTTCCAATATTTTTTCTAGCAGATTCCTAAAGATTTTCTAGATGTAAGGTCATGTCATATGCCAAAAGTTTAACTTCTTTCTTTTCAATGTAGATTTATTTTTTTCATTTTCTTGCCTTTATCTTGACTAGAAGCTCCATTAAAATATTCAATATAGATAAAGAGTGGATTTAGTCTTTCTCCATTAAGTATGATGTTAGCTGTGCATTTTTTATAGATAACACTTACCAGTTTGAGAAAGTTTCCCTCTATCCCTACTTTACGGGGTACTGTTATAATGAAGGATATTGAATTTTATTAAATTAATTTTTCTGCATTTATTGAGATGATCATGCAGTTTTATTTCTCTGTTCTAATTACATTTTGTATTATGTTAATAGAGATTTTAACGTTAAAGCAACTTTGCATTTTTAATAAAACTTTTACTTATTCAGGGTATATAATTGCTTCTGTATATTCTTACATTCATTTTGCTAGCAAATTTTGTGGATTTCTGAGTTCATAATCATAAGATTTATCGATCTGTAGTTTTTATTTTTTGTGATATCTTTGTGTGGTTTTACTAGAAGGAATTAGTTAAATATGTTGATAATGCATTTTTCTTTTCTGTGATTTGAAGGATTATTTTTGAGGAATTGTTAATTTTTCTGCTTTAAATGACTTATAGATTTCAAAATAAAGGCATCTTGACCTAGGCAATTCTTTGTGGGTTGTATTTTGGACCAATTCAGCCTCTCTTTTTGTTATAGGTCTATTCAGATGTTCTGTTTCTTTTTGAATCAGTTTAATATATTTTCTTGTCTGTGTCTTCCTGTAGTAGAATTTATGTCAAATTAAGTTGGGAGTGGGTGAGGGAGCAGTTCATGGTTGAAATTAATAGGCTCTCATTATTTTTACCAGGACTTAGTAGATTTTCTTGAATAAATATTGCTAATATTACGCTTTATAATTTTAGGTCAATGCCTGGACACTTTAATTTTTTATAGAAAACACAATATTTTAATGCTAAAGATGTGTTTAAATTGTTTCTTTTTTACAATTGTGATGTTCTATGAAGATTTAAACTTTTGACTGTTAACAGATGATTTAAATAGAAATGTAGCATATGTACTCAGTGTACATGTGTATATTCAGCTTGTCAGCATTGAGTTATCTTTCATAAACTTATATTTATTTATTTGACACAACCAGGTGGGAGGGGTTCCCAGAGAAACACCAGAGAGCCTGTGCACTGGGAGGAGTGCACACTGGGGTGGAGCCACAGAAGTTCATATGATTTGCAGTGAGGAGGAGCCCGGCCCCTCCTCTTCTTGGATGGAACCTGGAATTCAGTCTGTGAGGTGGCAAACCCACCGGCAGGAAAACACACTCTCTCACTTCACTAAGAGCCTCTGTTTTGCCTTTTCTTCCTTTTTACCTAACAAAACTCTGCATTATTCACCTTCAAAGTCCGTGTGCCTAATTTTTCATGGCCATGTGACAAGAACCTTGCTTTTAGTTGAACTAAGAAAAAGTCCCACAACATATAGATACACACACACACACACACACACACACAGGCAAAAATGCAAAAACATTCCTCATTTTATTTTGTTTTACAGATATGGTCTTTTTTACAAATTGAAAGCTTATTGCTGCCCTGCATTGGGCAAGTTTACCAGTGCCATCTTTCCAACAGGATGTGCTAACTCTGTCACTGTGGCACATTTTGGTAAATTTCACAAAGTTCCAAACATTTTTATTATTATTATATTTATTATGATGAGTTGTGTTAACTGATTGTTGATTTTACTGTAGTATTGTGTTGCGGGCACCAGAAACTGTATTGGGATAATACGATAAACTTAACTGATAAGTGCTGGTGTCTTCTGACTGCTCTACCAACCAGCCTTTCCCCCATTTCTCTCTCTCTCCTTAGGCCTCTCTATTTCCCGAGGCACAGCAATGTTGAAATCAGGCAAATTAGTAATCCTACAAATGGCCTCTAAATGTTCAAGGGAAAGGAAGGCTCTGTCATCTCAATATCAAAAGCTGGAAATGATTAAACTTATTAAGAAAGGCATGTTGAAAGCTGATACAGGCTCAGATCTGTACCTCTTATGCCAAATAGTTAGCCAAGTTGTGAATATAAAAAAAAAATTTGGGAAAGACATTAAAAGTGCTACACATGTACACATGAATGATATGAAAGTGCAACAGCCTTGTTGGCTGGATAAAAGATCAAACCAGTGACAATAGTCCCCAAATTTAGACAAAGCCTAAACCAGAACAAGGCCATAATTCTCTCCAATGCTGACAGGGGTGAAGAAGAAATCTTTGAATCTAGCAGTGGTTGGTTCACGAAGTTTAAGGGAATAAACCATCTCCATAACATAAAAGTGCAAAATAAAAGAAGCTACAGAAGATTATCCAGAAGATGTAGCCAAAATAGTTACTGAAAGTGGCCACACTAAACAGGAGATTTTTCCTTGTGTACAGAGCATCTTTCTCTTGAAAGAAGATAACATTTAGCTTTTTTATATCTTCACAGGAGAAGTCAATGTCTAGCTTCAATGCTTCAAAGGACAGGATGACTCTTTCATTAGAGGCTAATGCAGCTGGTGGCTTGAAGTTGAAGCCAATTTTTTTTTTTTTTTGAGATGGAGTCTTGCTCTGTCACCCAGGCTGGAGTGCAGTGGCACCATCTCAGTTCAGTGCAAGCTCCACCTCCCAGGTTCATGCCATTCTCCTGCCTCAGCCTCCCGAGTAGCTGAGACTACAGGCAACCGCCACCACGCCTGGCTAATTTTTTGTATTTTTAGTAGAGACGGGGTTTCACTGTGGTCTTGATCTCCTGACTTCATGATCCACCCACCTCGGCCTCCCAAAGTGGTGGGATTACAGGCATGAGCCACCGCACCCGGTTGAAGTCACTGTTTATTTACCATTTGGAATATCCTAGGGCCTTAGATAAATTATTCTAAATCTACTCTCTCTGTGCTCTATTAATGGAATATCAAAGCTTGGTTGATAACACATTTCTTTACAGCATAAATTACTAAATATTTTAATCCCACTGTTGAGATCTATTGACCAGAAAGAAATATTCCTTTAGAAATATTAGCATTCATTGACAATGTACCTGGTCACCCAAGAGCTCTTATGGAGATATACAGGGAGATCAATGTTGTTTTTATGCCTGGTAATACAACATTCTTTCTGTAACACATATATCAAAAAGTAATTTCAACTTTTAAGTCAATTAAGGAATAAGTTTCGTAAGATTATTGCTGCCATTAACAGCAATTTCTCTGTTGGACGTTGTCAAAGTAAATTCAACACTTTCTGGAAAAGTTTCACCTTTCTAGATGATATTAAGAACATTTGAGTCATTAAATGAAGTAAACATATCAACATTAACAGGAATTTGGCAGAATTTGATTTCAAATATCATAGATAATGTTGAGAGCTTCAAGAATTCAATGGAAGAAGTAACCACAGATATGGTAGAAATAGTAAGGGAACTATTACTGGAATTAAAAGAAGAACCTGAAGTTGTGACTGAATTGCTATAATCTCATGATAAAACTTGAATAGATGAGTTCTTTCTTATGGATCAGCAAAAAAATTTGGTATAGTGAGATAGAACCTACTCCTGGTGAAGATGCTGTGAACATTGTTGAAATGACAACAAAGTACTTAGAATATTACTTAAGGTTATTTGATAAAGCAGCAGTAGGGTTTAAGTGGATTGATTCCAACTTTAAAAGAAGTTCTATCATGAGTAAAATGCTACCAAATTGCATTGCATGCTGCAGATAAATCCAAGTCAAAATCACAATGAGATGCTAACTCAAGCCAGTCAGAATGGCTATTTTTAATAAGTCAAAAACAACAGATGCTGGTGAGATTGTGGAGAAAAAGGAACACTTTTACACTGTTGGTGAGAGTTTAAATTTGTTCAACCATTGTGAAAGACAGTGTGGTGATTCCTGAAAGACCTAGAGGCAGAAATATAATTTTTCCCAGCAATCCCATTACTAGGTGTATACCCAAAGTAACATAAATTGTTCTATTATAAAGACACATGCATGCATATGTTCGTTGTGGCAATATTCACAATAGCAAAGACATGGACTCAACCTAAATGCCCATCAATGACAGACTGGACAAAGAAAATGTGGTACATATTCTCCTTGGAATACTATGCATCCCTAAAAAAGAATGAGATCATATCCTTTGCAGGGACATGGTTGGAGTTGGAGGCTGTTATTCATAGCAAAATAATGCAGAAACAGATAACCAAATACCACATGTCCTAACTTATATGTGATAGCTAAATAATGAGAAGATATGGATACATGGGGGGTAAAAACACACAGTGGGGACTTTTGGAGGTCAGGGGATGCGAGGAGGGAGAGGATCAGAAAGAATAGCTAATGGATTCTAGGCTTAATACCTGGGTAATGGGATGATCTGTGCAGCAAACCACGATGGCACACGTTTACCTTGTAACAAACCTGGACATCCTGCACATGTACCTTGAACTTTAAATAAAAGTTGGAAATTTTTAAAGAAGGAAGGTCAATGGGTGCAGCAAACATTATTTTTGTCTTTTTAAAAGACATTGCCACAGCTCCCCAAACTTTCAGCAGCCACCACCCTGATTAGTTAGCAGCTGTCATCATCAATGCAAGACCCTCCACCTACAAAATGATTACAACTCACTGCAGGCTCAGATGATTGTTAGGATTTTTAAAGCAATGAAGTATTTTCATTACAGTGTGTACATTATTTGTAACATATTTATATTGCAGACTTAAGAGACTACAGTATAGTGTAAACATAACATCTATATGCCATGGAAAACCAGAAAATTTTGTTTGACTTACTTTACTTCAGTGTTCTGGGACCAAATCTGCAATATCTTGGAAGTATGTCTTGTATAAGTGAAAATAAAATGAGATCTACTCTTTTAAAAGTATTTTAAGTGTATGATACATTATTGTTAACTATGGCCACAATGTTGTGCAGCAGTGCTCTGAAACCTGCTCATCTTATTTTTACTGGAACTTTATACTCATTGAAAAGCAACTCTCAATTTCCTCCATTCTCCAGCCACTGGTAACCTCCATTCTACTCTCCGTTTCTTTGAGTCTGACTGTTTCAAATTTCTTACACAAGTAGAATCATAGAGTATGTGTCCCATTGAGACTGGCTTATTTCACTTAAAATTATTTCCTGAAGGTTCATCTATGTTGTTACATATTGCAGGATGGGTGGATCATATGGAAGTTCTATTTTTAATTTTTTGAGCAACCTCTACACTGTTTTCATTTTGGCTGTAAAAATTTATATTCACACTGACAGTGTATGAAAGTTTCAATTTCTCCATTTCCTAGCCAACAACTTTTATTGTGTGTGTATATATGTATGTGTGTGTTTGTGTCTGTATGTTGATAAAGACATGGTAAGAGGTATGAGGTGATATCTCATTGCAGTTTTGATTTTCCTGATGATGAATTTACATTAATTAGTTTTCATACAGCTGTTGTCCATATGTACAACTTCCTCAGAGAAATGTCTTTTTCAAGTATTTGCCTATTTATTAATCATGGCTTTTTTTCTCTTTTTGCTATTGAGTTGTTGCAGTTCCTAATATATTTTAGGTGTTAACCTCTCATGAGATATATGATTTGAAAGTGTTTCCCATTCCCATTTTATCTTTTCACTCTGTTGACTTCTTTGCTCTGCAGAAACTTTTTAGTTTGATGCAATTCTACTTTCATATATTTGACCTTGTTACCTGTACTTCTGAGGTCATACCCAATAGACCATTGCCCAGCCCAATGTCATAAAACTTTTTCCGTGTTTTATTGTGAGAGTTTTATAGTTTCAGGGCTTATGTTTAAGTCTTTCATTTGTTTTGTGTTGATTTTTGTATATGACATAAACTAAGGGTCCAATTTTATTCTTTTGCATGTGGACATCTGGTGTTCTCATGCAGTACCGTTTCTTGAAGAGAGTGACATTTATTGAGTATATTTGAGACTCATTGAATATAAGTGCATTGTATATTTGTGACTTTATCATCTGGGCTCTCTATTCTGTTACTTAAATCTCTCTCTATTTATGTCTTTATGTGAATATCATGTTATTTTAATAACTGTAGCTTTTAATATATTTTGAAATAAGGAGATGTGATGCCCTATAACTGTGTTTTACTTTTCCCACATTGTTTTGGCTAGTTACTTCTTCCTGGATCATTATACATTTTAAGATTTTTTTGTCTTTGTATAAGTCATTGGTGTTTCGATAGAGATTACATTTAATATGTTAATCACTTTAGGTTGTATAGATGTTTCTGTAACATTAAATCTTCCGGTCAATATACTATGTCTTTCTAAATTAGTATAATCTTTAATTTCATTCATCAGTGTTTTGTAGTTTTTAGTATACATGTCTTTCTTCCACTTGTTACAGTTTATTCTTATGTATTTTGTCCTTTTTGAGGCCATTGCAAATTGGAGTGTTTTGTTAATTTCCTTTTCTGATAGTTCTTTGTTAATACACAGAAAGGTAAGTGATTTTTGTATGCTGATTTTATATGCTGCAAATTTACTGAATTTATGCACTTGTTCTAATAATATTTGGTGGCATCTTTAGGGTTTTCCACATATAATATCATGTCCTCTGCAAACAGAGGTTATTTTACTGTTGATTCAGAAGCCTGTTGCTTTTTTTCTTTTTCTTGCCTAATTGTTCCGGCTAGGATTTCCAGTATGGTGTATAATAGAAGCAGCAAGAGTGAACATCCTTTCCTTATTGTGAAAACAGATGAAAAGTTTTCAGTTTTTTTTTAATCATTGAGTATGATGTTAGCTATGAGCTTTTCATATATTGCCTTTATCAGGTTAAGATAATTTCCTTCTATTTCTTGTTGCAGGAAGTCAGGGACCCTGAATGGAGGGACTGGCTGGAGCTGAGGCAGAACATCATAAATTGTGAAGATTTCATGGACATTTATCTGTTCCAAAAATTAATACTTTTATAATTTCTTATGCCTGTCTTTACTGCAATCTCTGAACATAAATTGTGAAGATTTCATGGACATTTATCACTTCCCTAATAATACTATTATAATTTCTTACGCTTGTCTTTACTTTAATCTCTTAATCCTGTTGTCTTCATAAGTTGAGAATGTATGTCACCTCAGGACCACTATTGTACAAATTGGTTGTAGAACATGTGTGTTTGAACAATATGACATCTGTTTGTAAAACATATATGTTTGAACAATATGAAATCAGTGTACCCTGAAAAACAACAGAATAACAGCAATTTTCAGGGAACAAGGGAAGATAACCATAAGGTCTGACTGCCTGAGGGGTTGGGCAGAATAAGCCATATGTTTCTTCTTGCAGAAAGCCTATAAATGGATGTGCAAGGAGGAGAAATACCGCTGAATTCTTTTCCCAGCAAGGAGTAACCCTGGGGAAGGAATGCATTCCTGGGGAGAGGTCTATGAATGGCCACTCTGGGAGTGTCTGTCTTATGCGGTTGAGAAAAGGACTGAAATATGCCCTGGTCTCCTGCAGTACCCTCAGGCTTACTAGGATTGGGAAATTCCAGCCTGGTAAATTCTAGCTAGACTAGTTCTCTGCTCTCAAACCCTGTTTCCTGTTAAGATGTTTATAAAAACAATATGGGAACAGCAGGACATAGAGCCTCATCAGTAATTCTAATTCTGCCTTTGCCTTGTGATCTATATGGCCCTTTGAAGCATGTGATCCTTGTGACCTACTCCCTGTTTATACACCCCCTCCTCTTTTAAAATCCCTAATAAAAAGTTGCTGGTTTTGCAGCTCAGGGTCGTCTGCACAGTCCTACCAATATGCGATGTCAACCCTGGAGGCCCAGCTGTAAAATTTCTCTCTTTTTACTCTTACTCTTTATTTCTCAGACCAGTCACCAATTAGGGAAAATAGAAAAGACCTACATTGAAATATTGGGGGCTTGTTCCCCCGATATCATTTCTATTTCTAGTTTGTTTAGAGCTCTCTTTTAAAAACTCATAAACAATTGATTTTTTTCAAATGCTTTGTTTTGCATTTACTGATATATCAAGTGATTTTTATGCATCATTGGGTTAAGGTGATATGTCACATTTGCTCATTTTTGTGTGTTCTATTATCCTTAAATCTAGGGATAAATTTGTCATTTCTTTTAGGAAAGAAGCAATGCTGAGTCTTGAACATAGTAAAAGCCAAGCAACACTACTGGTCTTGTAATATCAAAAGGAAGAGTGAGACTTTCTTCACAATTTAATTATTGAGTAGTTTCTTTGCAACAGTAAAAACAACAAAATTCTGCTGAAAATGAAACCAAAGAATTCTGAGTATTTGCAAAATGGTATTAATATTGTGAACGGATGTCTTAATATTGGGTCAATGTATAAAGTGTGAAACACAGCTCAGTAATTTTTGTGCATGTGCCACTTGTGAATAGAATAATGTATTTCACATAAACCCATATGGTTTTACATTATTTTTTATTTTTCCTTGTTTTTAAGTATTTGACTAAGAATATTTCTAACTTTTAAATAGGTACTAAATCTCTGGAAAATAAATTTTGACCTAACAGTGTAAGTTATAAAAATATGTTTTGTCACAGGAGGAAGGAAATCCTCTGTATCAACCTCTTCATGCTGGAATTAACTGAAGGAATTCTATCTTTTGGTCATTCCAGCTTCAAGCCTTTTATGTAACTAATCCCTTTTCTCCTTCTTTCCTGTTTTAGCAAACTTTCAGAAAGAAAACAGGCAACATCTTGTGATGATGAAGATCACAGTTGACACATAGGCCAGCAGGAACCTAATCACATGCAAGTTGTGGTATTGGAACCAGGTGAGGTCGTGGGCTGCAACCCGAAGGTGCTTGGCTCCTTTGTGCTGCATGACAAACTCAATCCAGAAGGCTGCTTGATCCAGGGGCTTAATTGGCAAATCATGGCGAATTATTGATAACTTCATAGCATTCTCTTTGTAGCTGAAGGATAAACATAAAAATACCAACATTGAAAGTAAATTTATTTCCTAAGTCTATGGATGGTCTTTGAAAAGTGTCACATCAATGCTTCAAAGTAAATATTATAGAATTGTCATAGGAATCGAATGTTTTGGTTTGGACAAATGTAGAAAGTTTATTTTTTAAAATGGAATTTTATAAAGAAAAATATGTCTTAAATTAAAAATGGAAGGTCTGATGAGAAAGTTAATGTCTTTGTAGCAGAGGAAATATTTTGAGCCATTCTATGTGCTACAGGTAAGACAGTGGAAATGCAATCTGAGATTGATCATCTTGATATTTTATTTTATTTTTTTTTGAGAAAGAGTCTTTCTCTACGGCCCAGATTGGAGTGCAGTGGCATGATTATGGGTCACAGCAGCCTCCACAGTGTGGGCTTAAACAATCCTCCCACCTCTGCCTCCTGAGTAGCTGGGACTGCAGGCATGCACCACTTTGCCCAGTAATTTTTAAATATTTTTTTGTAGAGATGGAGTCCTACCAGTTTGCCCAGGATGGTTTCAAACTCTTGGGCTCATGTGATCCTTTTGCTTTAGCCTTCCAAATTTCTGGGACTACAGGTGTGAACTACCTTTATCGACCCATTTTGATATTTTTAAGGAAAAATTGTTTCACAGCTGGTGTAATATTTCTAAATTAGTCTTTCTCTTTCTACCCTACTATTCTGTGTTCTACCATATTTTCCTCTCAGTAGTCAGAATAATTTTTTGAAATAAAAGCCAGATTATGGCATTCCTCTGATAAGATTTTCACCTGGCTTCTCACTATATTAAGAATAAAATCTAAATCTGTCTTTGTTCTACAGAACCCTACATGGTCAGGCATGGGCAACTTCTTCTAACACTTTCCCCAACCACCTTCTCTCCTAGAGGCATTGCCCTTCTATTGTTCTTTGAGCTCCCCAATGTGTTCTCACCTGAGCCCCTTTACACCCTTTATCCCCTCTCTCCCTCTCTTGGAATATTCCTCCTTGCAACAACTTGAGGCTTGCTTCTATATCTTTTTGAGGCTTCCCCTTAAATAATACCTGTTAAAGAGGCTTTTCGTGGCCACACTATGGTAGTACCTGTAGGATTTCCTCTATTGTTTTGTGCTTATTTTGCTGTTTAACTCCTGGAACTTAAAAATATGTTACATGTCTTCTCAAATAAAACTTTAAGTATAAAATACATAAATGTACACAAATTCAGTGAATAGCTCAAAATTTTAACATTACCTTGAACAATATCCTGATGTGAACACCAACTTACCTACTACGCAGATTATAATATAAGACATCACAACCTGCCTAGAAAAACTCTGTCTTCTTGGGCCATTTTAGTCACTACTTTTGTCCTCAAGTTAAAACTACCTTGACTTCTAATAGATTAATATTGCTTGTTTACATAATGAATTATATAATATATACTCATTTGTGTCTTTTTTTGGGTAGAAGTTATTGGCTAATTCCATTGCTGTAATATGATTCAGTCAATTGACAAATACCACAGATTATCTCCTATTTTTATGACTGATGGATATTTGGGTTGTTAAGATTTTTGAACACTATTACTAATTCTGGAGTAAGCAAATGTGTGTATATCATTAGATATACATATTAATACATTTTTGATGGGTATATACTTGAGAGATGAGTTGCTGAGAAAAAGATGCATGTAGAATTATGATGTTTTGTTGACTAGCTTTTTAAATACACAAATTTAATTTCCAAAATTTAGAGTTGTTTTTTAAGTTATAATTTTTTGGATAATTTCGAATTTATTTCTAGTATGGCTAGAGCATTTCCTTTTTATGCTTTCGAATCTTATCACATTTGCTAAGTCCTGATTTTTGGCCCAGCAGAAGTTCAATTCACTAACTATTCCATATACTCTTAATAAACGTATATTCTCAATATACATTCACACTCACCTCCACACCTCCACACATAAAAATGTGTGTGTATATATATATATACACACATATACACAAACTTACTATATATATACACAATACATATATATGTATACACACACATATATACAATAGGTTATATTTATGCTCTTCAAATGTTTATTTTTAAGTCACTTTTTTTTCTCTGTTTAAATTTAGTATGAGTTCTAGTAGATTTACTTTTAAATCTACTATCTTATTCTGTATTTTATTTTCTGTTTTCCAATCTGCTGTATGTTTCTTTTCTAATTCTTTCCTGTTTGCTTTTAAACTATTTTTAATCATTCACTGTCTTATTATCTTCCTGGTAAGGTATTTTCAGTATATTTTCTAAGGTGGTACCTCCATATATATATTGATAATAGTAATCAATAGTCACAGCATTTTCTACATTATTTCTTTTGGAGCACAGAAAAATTATTACAGATTTATTTTCTCAATATTAAAACTTTGTGCTTCAAGGGACATCTTCAATAAAGTAAAAAAAAAGAATCAACCTATAAAGAGTGGGAGAAAATATTTAAAAATCATAGACTGACAAGGCATTCCACCAATAATATAAAAATAATTCTTATGAATGAATAATAAGATAAAAATGTTAGAAATGTTCAAAAGATAGGAATAAAATTTTCTCAAAAGAAGACGAATGACTTGCCAGTAAGTGCATGAAAAGATGGTTATGTCTTTAGCCACAAGGAAAATGCAAATTAAATCCACAATGAAAGATCATTTTATATCCACTGGGATCCCTGTAACAAAAAGATAGGAGATAACAAGTGTAGGGAAGAGCATGAAGAAATTGGAACCCTCCTGTACAGCTAGAAGTAACGAAAAACGGTGCAAGTACTTTGAAAAACAGTTTAGCAGTTCTTCATAAACATCAACTTTCCATATGGCTCAGAAATTCCACTCCTAGTATCTTCTCAAAATTAGTGAAAACAACTTTTTTCACAAAAAATATGTATAGCAGTGTTTATAAGAGCTAAAATTGGAAATAACTGAAATGTCTGAGAGCTGATAAATGGGTAAATTCAAAATGGTACATTCATCAAAGAATATTAGCAATAAAAAGAAAAAATGTTCTGACACTTTCAACAATATGGGTGAAACTAATAAAAGACATTGTACTAAGTCAAAGAAATCATTTATAGAACACTGTAAATTGTATGATTTAATTTACATGAAATATCCAGAGAGAATAATCTATTGAGAAAGTAAGTTGATATTTCCCTAGGACTGGAGGTTTATCAACAGTGATTTTATGCATTTTGAGGTTTATTTTAGGGTGATAAAAATGTTCAAAAATTATATTATGGTGATGGCTTTGTAACTATGTAAATGTACTAACTACTTTTAGATCTCACTTTTAAATAGGTAAATATTATGCTATGCAAATTGTATCTTAAAATAATGATAATACTAAAAATACATTATTGAGCATGAATACAGTTATACTTTCAGAAATTTTATGTATTGAATTGAAATACTTTATTTTATTTCTCCAAGTTCATTATTTCATTGTATTATAATCCATCATTCAAAAAACTTATATTTTAAACAATTATCTATATATGTTTAAAAATATTTGTGTGTAGAAGGTTGTTACAGTAATTGGTGACCCATTAAATATATGGGATCAAATGTAACTAAAATAATTGGTGAAAAATAAAAGCAGGTTTCAAGTTGGTTAAATTATTTAAATTCTTTCAAAATTGGTCTCCTAAAAGGGGTAAGACATGTATTCAGTGTTGTCAAAAGAATCTGTAAATACCACATAGTAAAAAAAATTGTCATACTCACACAGGGTCATTAATGACTGTCTTCAGTGCATTGAGCAAATCTGTACTTGACATGGTCCTGATGTCCACATTGAGGGCCTTCATGTGAGCAATGTTATCAGGTTGATCTGCAAACAAAGGAATGCCCACCATAGGGATCCCATGGTAGATTGCCTCATAGATGCCACTGGTTTCACCATGAGTCATAAAAGATTTAGTTTTTGGATGACCTAGGATTGGATAAATTTTAGCAAAATTATTCATAAGACTAAAATGAGAAATGCACAATAGAATGCTCTGAAAGGGGCAGTGTCTACTAAATAACAGATTATTATACACATCAAACTCCATTAGAATTGCTTTCAGATTTCAGAGAAAGAAGCACCTAATTCTTCTGGAGGTAAGTGAAGGCTACATGAAGAGGTGGGGGCGTGTGTGACTTCAGACTCAAAAAATGAATTGATATTGCCAGGTGGACAAAATGAAAAAGCACATTCTGAATGAAAAAAATGTGCAAAAAAAAAGAGAAAAGAAAATCAATAATATTGTGTATGTTAGAGCATTTTCCCTTAAATACATACTGCGGTCTGAGTGGGATATGTGGTGTATGCAAGGCAACAGGGAGTGTGGTGGTGGTATTGGAATAGAAGAAAGGCAGGCCACATTACATCAGGAAACGTGTTATCACTTTATGATAAAGATTGAGGATTTAGGCCGGGTGCGGAGGCTCATGCCTATAATCCCAGCACTTTGAGAGGCAGAGGTGGGTGGATCACCTGAGGTCAGGAGTTCGAGACCAGCCTGGCCAACATGGTGAAACCTGGTCTCTACTAAAAATACAAAAATTAGAGAGGCTTGGTGGCAGGTGCCTGTAATCCCAGCTACTCGGGAAGCTGAGGCAGGAGAATCGCTTGAACCTGGGAGGTGAAGGTTGCAGTGAGCCAAGGTCATGCCAATGCACTCCAGCCTGGGGACAAGAGTGAGACTTCATCTCAAAAAAAAAAAAAGATTGAGTATTTATTTTCAGAAAATGCAGAGTTATTGGTAATAAAAGAGGCACTGTTATTTTTTAGTGTCTTTTGAAATTAACCCTGAAGTAGGGAAAAGGACAGGTGTAAAGCTGTACAAATAGGAGACAGAGAGACAATCCAGGAAGTTATTGGGAAACCCCGTGAGAGGTAATTATATCTGAAATAAAGATAATTTGATTCTGAACATAAAGAATGTGAGTGTCTATAATAAAATACCAACTATATAGTTATTTTCCTGGTAAGACTGGAAAATAAATATAAAGTAGTTAGCCTTTATATTTGAGTTTTTTGATAATAAATGTTCCGTAAGTTTCTTTCAGGTTGAACTATCCTTCTAATTAGCTGTTAGTCATATATTCAGTATTTGTTCTGCAGAGTATTACCAAGAAGGTCATTCTGGGATATCCACTTGTACAGCTGAGTATTGGATGCTAAAGTATTTGGTCTCTTTCCATCCACAGAACCTGTTGGGGTAAAGAAAATATCTTGTTCCATGAGTAGAATGCCAAAGCTATAAGATGTTAGAACTCTAAAGAAATTGTCAATCAGCTAGTTAAACCCCTTCCATATAATAGATGAAAAAACGAGAACAAGCAATTTTAGGAAATGAGTACTACTAAAAGACTATTGAATATCCACATTTCATGTCTTTTATTATCAATTTGGTATATTAGAAAATCATGATGTTTTCAACAGAGAAGCTTAGACACTTGAGAGTATCAATAAAAAATTCAAAAATTTAAGAAATTATTAGACAGTCATTATAATTCTACTGTAAAATACAGTAACAAATTAGTGACAACCTATACATTTATTTTATGTATTTTATACTACCTGTAATCTTCCAAATTTAATGTTAGTTTATTTCTTGAGTGAAATGAGAAGTGTTACTTATATATATTTTTCTGTAAGTTATTTTGTTAGTGTTTGACATCTTTGATTTATAAAAAACAAAATCTATAAAATCAGCTACCTGTGAGAAATAAATCAGTGCTACATAGGTAGTACATATAACTTCTTGTAGATTACACATTACCCAGCACTACATCCAAGAAAAATTTCAAGTGACAATTTCTTTCTTTTCTTTTCTTTTTTCTTTTCTTTCTTTTTTTTTTTTTTTTTGAGATGGAGTCTTGCTCTGTTGCCCAGGCTGGAGTGCAGTGGCACCATCTCAGCTCACTGCAACCCTCGCCTCCTGGGTTCAAGCGATTTTTCTGCCTCAGCCTCCCAAGTAGCTGGGATTACAGGCATGCACTGCCATGCCCAGCTAATTTTTATATTTTTTAGTAGAGACGGGGTTTCACCATGTTGGCCGGGCTGGTCTCGAACTCCTGACCTCAAGTGATCTGCCCACCTAGGCATCCCAAAGTGCAAGTGGCAATTTCTGAGTCAAATTCAAAGTACTATCATTTTGCTAGTTTTGGAAATTCTTCCAATGTAGGCGAAAAGAGCCAATTGGCAATTTATGAATAAGAATATACACACTAAAAATTGTAAAATTATATTTTGCTAAATTTTGCTTAACTGATCATTAACACTTAGATGCTGCTATAAAGCATCGACAGCATAGATTAATATGGGCTGCTTTAGCCAAGCCATACCCATAGACAGTACCAAAATAAGATACTGATTTTAGATTCCCCAAGCAATCCTTATAAACTGGAGTGTAATTTACAAGTGTTTTCCTTGTATTTGCTATGTGAGTGTTAAAGTAACTTTGTGTTTCCAGAAAAAAATTAGCATAGGTCATTAGGAGAAGGCTATGTCAGAGAGGAAACTAAAAAGTAACTCACAAATACACAAAGACTTCAAGTGTATTCTGCATACTACAAAATAAGTTCCTACTATATTTCATGGAGTGAGGGCATCTGAACCTCTTTCCATGCCTGGCTTCCTTCTGCTTGACTCCTTCTTATATTCCCTTCTCCTTCCTCCGTTGGGAGGAGGTGTTTTTCTGATGGTTAGAGCAGAGGCTTTATGGGACCACATTTTATAATGCACGGAGTCTACCCTAAAAGCAGGATTCTGTTCCCTCCTTTTCTATCATATTTTCCTGTTTAAGACATTAGCAAGGCCCAGTAAACAGGGCAGGCAAGTTCTTCTGCTTCTCTAAATCTACTTGGCTAGGTGGATACCTCCAGAATAGCGGTTTGTCAGCCTGGACATCTTTTCTCTGAATGCATTCTGAATTGCCTACTAAATAGGTCTATTCCAAAATGTACAGGAAGTACAGGAGACCAGATTACCTAGCAAGCCTAAATTGAATGATGCATTTCAGACTTTTTTCAATACCTTATTGTTATTGTAATAGTGCAGTAACTGATTAAAATGTAAGTGATTTTAAATAATATCTATAGTGTATACCATGTTCTCAGGAAACTTGTAAGCAAAAGGGACAAATGACAGGGCAGAATTTGGTGATTTCTATGTACATGCCTACAATACTATGATAATACCACAACTTCACCTGCACCTCTTAAATATATTTTTTCTGATCACAATATTAATGTCAGAATTTTTATCAATCAAACACACCCTCGTTATTTTAGTATCTTCCATATATATTTTTGTTTTTGAACCAATATCTGAGATAATTAGAGCTATCATATCAGTTAGTTTTTCTGGCAGAAAATTTCTGTGATTGGACTCTTTACAGAGTTTAACAGACTCATTCAGTAGCTGTCCACCATTAAGACATTTTATCTAACCTTTCGTGGAATCTGGGCAAGAGCTGATGCAATCACGTTGGCCCTTTCTTCTGTGATGTTACTGACCATAGACTTAAGCAAGACTGCCACGACACCATTTTCTCCAGAGCTCTGCACAAACTCTTCCATTTTCTGTGAAGAATTTGTTCTATCACAAAAGAGTGTCAGCATAGCAAACACTATAGAAAAGATTAGTACATACATCTAAGAAGAGAAAATCAAGCATTATCAGAAATTTTTGGAGTAATGGCTATTTTTTAACTGACCTAATCTCTTTCTTTGGAAGAAGTTATGGAATATGATATACATGGCATCTGTTATGGCTATTTGTGTAAATATGTGTGTCTGTAAAAGGAAAAGATGAAAAACAACTATGACACTATAGAAGAAGGAGACAATGCTAGAAAATATTATACCCAGACTCTTCATTTACAATACTGTAATTACTAATATGGGTTCTTGGAAGGTGGCATTTGTTGTGTTTAATTCCATATGTTGTAGTTCTACTAAATTCCTTGTGTCTATTAAGGCAGGGTTTTTTGTTTGTTTGTTTGTTTGTTCTTTCTGTAGAGTATTTTTAGTTGGGAGTCATTGGAACCATTACCTGGCTATGAGCAGTGAGGAAAAGTTACTATTGAAATAATTTTATATGTCTATTTCTTTAGCTCTGTAATTCTTTATACCTCATTTAAAACTTGTCAGATTATGTCTTTTTCCCTAAAAAAAAATCTTTAAAAGCTGAAGTTTAATAATGATGGAGATTCAAGAGTCTGATACTGTGGTGTGAAATTTCTGTGAACTAGTCCTGAGAATCCCATTTATAATACAGAATTATGCAGTATATAGTTACATAACTGAGTGATTGTATTTCTCAGGTCATTGTTTAAATATTACTAAGACACTTTTTTTCCTGAAATCACACTGCATAAAATGATATGCTACTGGCCAGGCATGGTGGCTCACACCTGTAATCCTAGCACTTTGGGAGGTCGAGATGGGCAGATCACCAGGTCAAGAGATTGGGACCATCCTGGCCAACATGGTGAAACTCTGTCTCTACTAAAAATACAAAAATTAGCTGGGCGTGGTGGCACACACCTGTAATCCCAGATACTCGGGAGGCTGCGGCAGGAGAATTGCTTGAACCCGGGAGGTGGAGGTTGCAGTGAGCCGAGATTGTGCCGCTGCACTCCAGCCTGGGCGACCCAGCGAGACTCCATCTCAAAACAAAACAAAACAAACAAACCAAACAAACAACTGATGTGCTACCTATAACTGCCTGTGAGGGACCCTCATCATCACTTTTCTGTGTCTCACAGGGGCACTTAATCCTCAGTGGAAGAATCTACCAGTCATTTTTCCAGTGGAGATCTCTTCACTATCTTGAGTAGCTCATTCACACAATATAAAGCCCTTGTTGAATATGTGTTTGCTTGAAATTTATTGAGAATTACTCTGAATTGTGGTTTCCCTTATGTTCTCATTTGTAAATGTAAATGCATAGTGTAATTCCACATTGCTCAGTGCATACGCCTATCAAGACAAAATAAAGAGAAAGAGAAATGTAGCGCCAAAAGTTTTCAGTATATAATGTCAAAATTGAATACCCATCTTTTTGTTGTTGTTGTTTCTTTTGTTTTCCATTTATTATTTATTTATTTTCTCTGTAAAATAATGATGAACCCATTCTGACATAACCGGTATACTTTCAGATCCTAAACATGGGAGGTAAACTTTCTTTTAAAAACTTGTTTAAAAAAAGAAATCCTAAAGTTTGTGTATGCACAACATATTTTGCCAAGTATTTTTCAAAAATATAATTTGAGCCTTATGACATTAGTTTTAATTGGAGAGTCACTGTACTACTATTCCAGGTAGTTCTTGGGGCTCCCAGGTATTCTGTGTGACTCGTTACCTGTGTGAACACAAAGTATCTGAAACAGTTCTCAATTTAGAAAGTTTATTTTGCCAAGGATAAGGACATGCTCATGACACTGCCTCAGAAAGTCTCAATGACACGTGCTCAAGGTGGTTGGGGCACAGCTTGGTTTTACACATTTTAGCAGACATGAGACATCAATCAATATGCGTATGATGTACATTGGTTTGGTCAGGAAAGGTGGGGCAATTCAAAGTGATGCCTTCATGTCATAGATAAGAGTTAAAAGGTTGCATTCTTTTTTGGGTCTTAGATGAGCCTTTTGCTGAATACACAGTATACATATGAGAGAAGGGTTGAGAAATAGTCACTTATGCCTTAGTCTGACTCAGTAAATCTGCATTTTTTCCATAAACAATGGTGAAGGGATGGCTTTGAGTTCTGTCCTCTTTTGTCCCTCACCTGTGAAGATAAGCTATCAATTTACATTTCCAGGGTGAAATTCAACAGAAATGTTTCAGGTTAAAGATTTTGAGGCCCACAAGGAATTTCCTCTTGGGAAGATTGTAAGGGAGGTATGTAACTTAAAAACAACAACAACAACAACAACAACAAAAACCCAACTTTGTAGCTATTTTATTTAGGAATAAAATGGGAGGCAGGTTTGGCTGATACAGTTTCCAGCTTGACTTCCCTTTGACTTAGTGACTTTGGGTTTTCAAGATTATTTTTCTTTCAGACCTGTAGCCACATTTAATGGAACTTGTGTTTGATGTTTTTTCTCAATGCCTCGCTGCCCAGAGTCTTCTTCATCCACCCAATATTGAGGTAGCATATTGTCTGTTTATACACTCATCAGTGATCTCATTCTGGGATATCTTCATGAAAATAATATATCAGTGTACAAAATATTAAAGTATGAAAAGCTTAAAAAAATTAAATTTCCCTCATACTCTCTGTCTAGAGCTATTCCTGATTTAAATTTGTATGCTTTTATTATGGTTTTTATTCTATTTATATAATTCACTGTGATGTTTATTTAGATAATTTTAATCTTATTGTATATTCCTTTTCATCCTGCATAAAAATTGTGATCTAGTTCTATTCATCATTTTGTTTCTCAGTTTCCGACAATTCTTGTATTATAGCTGACACTGTAATTATACATATTTTGATAAAATGATTGTAATGGCATAGAATGCATATTGTATACATTTTTACATAGTACCCAATAGTTTTTCAGGCCTTCTGCCCTTCTCTTCCCTCTGTAGTAGTCCCCACTGTCTATTGTTCCCATTTTTGTCTATGTGTACCCCAAGCTTAGCTCCCACTTTTAAGTGAGAACACATAGTATTTAGTTTTCTGTTTCTGGGTTAATTATTCTGGTTCATGTGTGTGTGTGTGTGTGCACAAATCTCCATGTATTTGTTTGTTTATCTTGGCTTTAATCTGTCATTTTATTTTCTTTTTTCAAATGTTGTCTGCCTATCTATCTATATATTTATCTATCTAATCTATCTATCTATCTATCTATTATCTATTTATCATCTATCTATATATTTAAGAATGAGGACATAGAATGATTCACTGGGATATCTTTGTATCTGTGAAGGACTTAGTATCTGGTTGGCTTTGATTTTTATGCTGAACGCGTACAACTACTAGACCTTACCTAAAGGGAACCAAAAATTTCATAAAAAAGATTATACTTTGATGTGTTACATCAATTCTAGTTTTCTCATTTTACCCTGGTGAATTTATTTCAATTTCTTTAAGGAAAAACTCTCTAGTTTTTGTGTGGAAAGTGCAAAGAGGAACGTATTATGTAATACAGTAAGGGTTAGTGCATTTCATTTTCATGTCTTTAGTTTCCTTTAGTCTGTAATTATCCCTTCATTTTTTGTCTCTGTTAATTTTTGACTTCTAGATGAATTATTGACCAGTTGTTTTGTAGAATGATTCTTATTTTACATTTGTTTAATGTTCCTTCATGATTAAGTTGCTATCACACATTTTTTGAAAGAATACTGCAGACATGTTGTTGTAGTCTTCACATTACATCATTTTTGGGCAGCAGATAGTGTTGATTTGTCATGCTGGTGATACTAACTTTGATTTCTTGGTTAAGATGCTGTCTACAGGTTTATTCCCTGTAAAATTATAATTTCTCATTTTGGAATTAGAAGTATCTTGATAGGAGACTTTGAGACTGTAAATATCCTGTTTCCATTACATCCTTTCCCTCTAATTTTAGCATCCATTCAAAGATAATTTTTGCCTGAATTAAATTACTGTGGAGTTTGTCTAATGATTATTTCTATGTCTATAATTTCTTTAACAATTAGTAAGAGAAATTCTACTCTAAGAAAGAACATTTTTTCCCTTTTATTTCCTTATACTGGTTTCTGTCAATATGATTTCATGAGTATTTGGTTTATTCCAAAGGTTACAATCCACAGCTTTCATTATTCCATTGCTCAAATTGGTCCAGATTCGATTCATTGGGACTTCCTTCAGTTTCCTTCTATATTTTTCTGATATGTTGTCATCATGTTGTATACTTATTTACTTTCTGGCA
Organism: Homo sapiens; assembly: GCF_000001405.40. Lineage (NCBI taxonomy): Eukaryota > Metazoa > Chordata > Mammalia > Primates > Hominidae > Homo > Homo sapiens. The sequence goes on from NT_167250.2 coordinate 293,167, forward strand.
CCCCTAGATATTTCAGGCACATCCTGTACTTTTGTTGCCTCAGGGGTAATGTCATTTATATCTTGAGGAAGGCATGGTTCGTTTTATTGGAGTATAGTGTCTAGAAGCAAAATTTCAAGTACTTAGCATGTTCATTGCATCTGGGATATTATTACTTCTAGGCCATTTACGCATAGACATTTTGGAAATGTATCTATGCATAACTTTTCATTAACAGCTTAAGAGAATAAATAAATTATCATTTCCATAAAATACAGAAAATGGAGAGTGTAGTAAGCTAAAACATGGTAAATCTAAATAGTAAATATTTACAGATAAGCTCAAACTAATAATTTAATGTAAAAAGTTATTTTCATTTAATGTCATGTAATAGTTATATATCAATTTAAAAAAGAATTAAATAAACTCACCCATTATGGTAGAGATTCTCAGATATTTCAATCTAGCTTTTATTTTTGTTTAAAAGAGAAACACCTAATAAAAATTACCCATATTACTATAAAATATATACAGATTTTACAAGAGGCATATACCCAATAGCAAATAAACGAAAATTGATGCAATGCTACAAAAATCAAACAAAGCAGAATTAAGATGCGAAGTATCAAATGTGATAAGTGAATCATTTCATGTGGATAGAAATAATTCACTTAAAATTAACAATAATAAGTATTTGGAGATTGAAATATATCTCAGAAACTGATAGATTGAACAGAGAAAATAAATTCTATGAAAGTTGATTGTATTAGCAACAAAAGTAACAAAAATAACGTACTGAATCCTGCATCTTCAAATAGAGTATAAATATTCTTTTGAAGTGCACATGAAAACTTTTATAAAATTAAACTAAGGCAATGTCACAGATGAAATCTCCACAAATTCTGAAGTATATATATCATATGTATCTATATAATGTGATACAATTAAAATAATTATAAACTTAAAGAGAATGTATTACCTTTCAAATATACACATTTAAGAATTTCATTCAGTGGAGTGGACTGTGCTTATCATTCATGACCCAAGTCTTTACTACCTTTTCTGCTCCAAACACATATACCATGAAGAGAAGACGGCATAGAATATACTCAGGTAAGTATACAACTGAGAAAACTTACACACCAGTTGTTAGCATTAGAGAAAATTATATGAATAGATTCTTATAGGAGCTATAACAAGATGGTTTTGGCAGGATAAAAAATGTGGCAAAAGCCTTAAAAGTGGAAAACAAAATTTACCTACGGAGTTCAGGGAATTTCTGTTCTGAAAAAATGTAAGTTGTAATAACTAAAAAATTAAAACAAATTATAATGAAACTGATCTCTCTAGATGACAGCAGACACATGCAGGAAATGAAAGTTTGCAGAAATTAACAGCTGTTGAAGATTAACTCATGAAAACCACATGAGGAAATAACCAATTCTACACAATAGTAAGATTTTCACCCAAAGTTTATAAATATAGGAAAAAATCAAAATAATTTTTTTTCTCAGAGATGAGAAAATACTTAACATAAAAATGGAATTGGGTGAGAAGCATGAATAGAAAGAGGAACATTTAGAAATTGTGGAAATTAGAAATACAGTCACTGATTGTATAAAATGTAATAGAGTTCACAAAATAAAATGGAACCGAATGAACGAATAAAAGAATGAACAAAACCTGCAATAAGGTGAATTAGTAAACTTTCTCTTTTTCTGACTGAACCTTGACTGATAGAGCTTCCAACAGAAATCACCTAATACTGTAGGAATTGCCATTAAGCTGATTAAAATATGAAAGTGTTATTTGCTATTACCACATGTTAGAGCCCTCCTGATTGCCTGCTTTACTTCTGAAGCTCTGTCATTATGGTTTCCTGGTTTTAACCACTCATTCTATGCTTCACTGAAATATTTTGAACTGATTCAATGTGTTTCTCTCAAATTTAATTTTATTCTATCCTGTCTCTTGCCTCCTGCAGGTTCTCACTGTGAGCAATCCAGCTCCAGAGCTTACCTTCTCTGACCTAGGGTTCCTCATTTTTTTTTTTTTACCAGTTTATCTGAACTTCATTGATCTTGTTCCTTTGCCAATCACTCTGAGCCACTGTCATCATGACTCAGGATTCTAGAATTTGAACAAATTATAAATTTGCCCTTTGTATCTTCTGTATCCCAAAGAAGAACCAGTAGACGGTACCACAAGAGAAAAATGGGTGCAGTACATGAACAAAACACCTGAATGAATCACAAACAAAAAGAGATGGTTGATTAGATTTATAATTAAGCATTTGCCAATCAAATCAGTGATTCATTTTTATATTATTTGGATTGGTAAAATTTAACATCCACCATAGATGAAGCACGAAATAACTGTCCACTCCAGTGCTGCATAGGTGGGTGTACATAGAGGGAGGTAGTGTTTGAAGGATACCCCTGGGCTCAACTGACTCAAGCTAGCTCAGTCTTGGTAAGAGGGAGACTGGACACTTCTGGTACAGTTGGGCTGCAGACACACTGTACCAACTGTAAGTTCACTTTGGTGAGAATCTTCATATGCCCTCACTTGAAAGAATTTTCTTTTCCAGATAAGTTTATGCCTTTTATTCATCCGAATTTTACCATGATGCTGTGCTCAATGATACAACAACATTTGAGGCACTAAAAAATGAAAAATTTTAAATATTGTTGTCTGCTCTAACAGTTTTCAATTTACTGAAGGTGGAAATTTTACAGTTATTAAGAAATAAAGTAAACTGAAAAAACATAGGTGGAGTGAGACTGAGAGAAAAAGAAATGGAGAGAGTCATGGAACTCTTCCCAGCAGGGTGAAAATTATTGGATATTTATTAAGAAAAGGGATGAATGAAATGAAAATTAACATGGCTAAAAAAAGGTCTCAACACAACATTATGAGAGGTAAGGTGGTCAAATGAGACTTTTTGAAATTAATCCAACCTAAAAGGGCCCCAAACTAATCAGTTTCATTTATCGCAGTGTGGAGTAGTTTAAAAAGCAGGAATGCAGAGATCACAGTTAGAAAGCTGCTTAATAATTTCTTCAGATAATGCTGAGGCAGATTAATCAAGATAAAAATTAACACACAAAAAAAGGGTTTATTGGTTTAAGGCCCTGCTGTTGACCCAAAGCCTTGTGTAAGACTGTCAGGGGATAGGGAACAGAAATTCCAGAGACTCCTTAATACAAGACCCCATGTGATATGCTACCAAGATGCATTGGGGAAGCCTTGACCGAGGTTATAGTTAGGTTGAGAAACCATAAAAATATAAAGATTAATAGAATTATGAAATTTGTGATATTTAAACAGGCTTAATTTAAAGAAAGTGTGTCTTTTTAACTTAAATGTCTTATGAAATGGACTTTATGTCTGGCTGGAAACACTTGTTCTGCCTATTGATAATATTGTAACACAAAACCTGCTGATAAAGTCCTAAAGGAGCTTAAGTAAAGGTTAATGAAATGAAAAGGAAAATGTATAGGAAAGTTGGTATTTTTGAACATACTTTATGTGAAGTAGTATCTATTTTATCTGAATGTGTCAAGGTTGAAGGACACTGTATCTAACTAGGAAATGTTTCTTGAATCTAATATTGTATAACAGAAGGTATGCAAATTTGCCCTTCAGCCAACATTAATTGGACATGCTAAATGAAAACCACTATGGTAGGGTGGAGTCAAGATGGCCGAATAGGAATAGCTCCAGTCTACAGCTCCCAGCATGAGCGACACAGAAGACGAATGATTTCTGCATTTCCAACTGAGGTACCAGGTGTATCTCGCTGAGGATTGTTGGACAGTGGGTGCAGGACAGTGGGTGCGGTGCACTGAGCATGAGCCAAAGCAGGGCGAGGCATCTCCTCATCTGGGAAGTGCAAGGGGTCAGGGAATTCCTTTTACTAACCAAGGAAAGGGTGACAGATGGCACCTGGAAAATCTGGTCACTTCCACCCTAATACTGTGCTTTTCCGATGGTCTTAGCAAATGGCACACCAGGAGGTTATATCCCACACCTGGCTCAGAAGGTCCTACACCCACGGAGTCTCGCTCATTGCTAGCAAAGCAGTCTGAGATCAAACTGCAAGGTGGCAGCGAGGCTGGGGGAGGGGCTCCCACAATTGCCTTTTGTTTGGCTATGCCCTGACCCCAGAGGTGGACTCTACAGAGGCAGGCAGGCCTCCTTGAGCTGTGGTGGGCTCCACCCAGTTCGAACTTCCCAGCCACTTTGTTTACTCAAAACCGCTCAACTATATGGAAACTGAACAACCTGCTCCTGAATGACTACTGGGTACATAACAAAGTGAAGGCAGAAATAAAGATGTTCTTTGAAACCAATGAGAACAAAGACACAACATACCAGAATCTCTGGGACACATTCAAAGCAGTGTGTAGAGGGAAATTTGTAGCACTATACACCCTCAAAAGAAAGCAGGAAAGATCTAAAACTGACAACCTAACATCATAATTAAAAGAACTAGAGAAGCAAGAGCAAACACATTCAAAAGCTAGCAGAAGGCAAAAATAACTAAGATCAGAATGGAGCTGAAGGAGATAGAGACACAAAAAACCCTTCAAAAAATCAATGAATCCAGGAACTGGTTTTATGAAAGAATCAACAAAATTAGGAGACTGCTAGCAAGACTAATAAAGAAGAAAAGGGAGAAGAATCAAATAGATACAATAAAAAATGATAAAGGGGATATCACCACCGATCCCACAGAAATACAAACTGCCATCAGAGAATACTATAAACACCTCTATGCAAATAAACTAGAAAATCTGGAAGAAATAGATAAATTCCTCGACACAAACACTCTCCCAAGACTAAACCAGGAAGAAGTTGAATGTCTTAATAGGCCAATAAGAGGCTCTGAAATTGAGGCAATAATTAATAGCTTACCAACCAAAAAAAGTCCAGGATCAGACGGATTCACAGCAAGGACTTCATGTCTAAAACACCAAAAGCAATGGCAACAAAAGCCAAAATTGACAAATGGGATCTTATTAAACTAAAGAGCTTCTGCACAGCAAAAGAAACTACCGTCGGAGTGAACAGGCAACCTACAGAATGGGAGAAAATTTTTGCATTCTACTTATCTGACAAAGGGCTAATATCCAGAATCTACAATGAACTCAAACAAATTTACAAGAAAAAAACAACCCCATCAAAAAGCGGGCGAAGGATATGAACAGACACTTCTCAAAAGAAGACATTTATGCAGCCAACAGACACATGAAAAAATGCTCATCATCACTGGCCATCAGAGAAATGCAAATCAAAACCACAATGAGATACCATCTCACACCAGTTAGAATGGCAATCATTAAAAATTCAGGAAACAACAGGTGCTGAAGAGGGTGTGGAGAAATAGGAACACTTTTACACTGTTGGTGGGACTGTAAACTAGTTCAACCATTGTGGAAGTCAGTGTGGTGATTCCTCAGGGTTCTAGAACTAGGAATACCATTTGACCCAGCCATCCCATTACTGGGTATATACCCAAAGAATTTTGAAACATGCTGCTATAAAGACACATGCACATGTCTGTTTATAGTGGCACTATTCACAATAGCAAAGACTTGGAACCAACCCAAATGTCCAATAATGATAGATTGGATTAAGAAAATGTGTCACATATACACCATGGAATACTATGCAGCCATAAAAAATGATGAGTTCCTGTCCTTTGTAGGGACATGGATGAAGCTGGAAACCATCATTCTCAGCAAGCTATCACAAGGAAAAAAAACCAAACACCGCATGATCTCACTCATAGGTGGGAATAGAACAATGAGAACACATGGACACAGGAAGGGGAACATCACACACTGGGGCCTGTTGTGGGGTGGGGGCAGTGGGGAGGGATAGCATTAGGAGATATACCTAATGTTAAATGATGAGTTAATGGGTGCAGCACACTAACATGACACATGTATACATATGTAACAAACCTGCACATTGTGTACATGTACCCTAAAACTTCAAGAATAAAAAAAAAAGAGTTTTTCAGGATGATGGTCCATCCTGAAGTACATAGGAAAAAAAAAAAAAGGAAACCACTATGGTATTCCAAGTTCATACAATGTAGAATAGAAGCTGGAGTGTTAGTACAGAAAGCATTATCTGTTCGATAGCCCGGATAAACAACTTCAGGAAAGTTTCAGGATGCAAAATCAATGTGCAAGAATCACTAGCAGTCCTATATACCAACAAAATCCAAGTCAAGAGCCAAATCAGGAACACAATCCCATTCACAACTGCCACAAAAAATAAAATAAAATGTCTAGAAATACAGTTTACCAGGGATGTAAAATATCTTTACAAGGATCACTACAAACCACTGCTCAAGAAATCAGAGATGATACAAACAAATGGAAAAAAAATCCATGCTCATGGGTAGGAAGAATCAGTATCATTAAAATGGTTATACTGCCCAAAGCAATTTGTAGATTTCATGCTATTCTTATCAAACTGTCAATGACATTTTTCAAAGAATTAGAAAAATGTATTTTAAAATTCATATGGAACCAAAAATAAAAAGCCCAAATAGCCAAGGCAATTGTAAGCAAAAAGAATGAAGCTGGAGGTATCATATTACCTGATTTCAAACTATGCTACAGGGCCACAGTAACCAAAACAGCATGATACTAGTATAAAAACAGATACGTGGATCAATGGGACAGAATAGAGAACTCAGAAATAAGGTCGCATACCTACAACTGTCTGATCTTTAACAAAGCTGACAAAAAAAATGGGGAAAGGACACCCTATTTAATAAATGGTGTTGGGATAACTGGCTAGCCCTACGCAGAAGATTGAAACTGGACCCCTTCC